>NC_000024.10:9116371-9403713 GCF_000001405.40 Homo sapiens
GAGATTTGCATTTATTTGGTAAAGATTAATTGACAAAGGTAGGGAGTAAACACCACTAGAAGATAGCTGACACTGTGGATTTCCTGAGTAGAAAGCAAGTAAGCACCCATGGTACATCAAAGGTTTGTTTTATCTGGGTACACAAGCTAGCCATGTAAACTACTCTGCCTTTCTTTGTACCCACTTTAAGCTGTTTACTCAAGGTAAGGATTAGATTGCCTTCAGCTGTAACCTTATCCTGAGACTTTTGTAAAAACTTCCAGGCCTTCCAAGAAGGTTTGTGTTTATTTATATAACTATGTCTAAAATATTTCCCACCAGACTGATTAAATTCCTACATCTCCCTCTTTTCATTTTTGAATCATGTCCTTTTGATTGGAAACTGTAGATGTGTGCAGGAACAGTTTTTTTCAGGTGAGGCAGTCATTGCTCTTATTCTGGCTTTGCATCCTAGAATTGGAAAATAACAGAAAACAATCATAAGTACAATTAGCAACATTCTTTTCCAATCAAAGTGTGACCTGGTACTTCAGTTTGATAAGTGCTGTTACTAAGGAACCCCACTGGGGGTTTGTTAACTCCTTCCAGGCAAGCAGTTATGTTATTAGAAGCTGGAAAGGGAGTGTATCCCCAGATGACAGGGCTGAAAAATGTCAGATTTAGAAGATGGGCTTATTAGAGTGTAGCAGGTACAGGTAGTAGGCACAGTGAGAGACTAAAAAGAAATAAATTAGCTGAAGTGAAAGGTGTCTGTGTCCAGAGCAGGATTTGTTTAGTCTTCTGTTTCTTCAGCATAATGCCTGGGACCTGTGTCCTCTGTGGAAGCCACATCATTTGGGGCTGTGGGTCTTGCACGGCTAATGCCTTCATTTCTGGTAGCAGATTGAGTCCTGGCCTTGCCATGGAATGGTTTGATGCTTTGTATTGGAATCCAAAGAGGACCTGAGGGGGTGTGGACAAAAGCATACCTTCTTCTCCATGTTAATAATTCACTAGGTCCACACAATTCATTACCGTTTACATCCTTCTATAAAACTGAAGGTTTTATGCCTTGAGAGGTTTTAGCAAATTGCTTTTCTACAGCTGATGGATAAATAAGGCTTTGCCAATAATGTTACAGCGTCTTTACCACTTCTGCCTTTTTTTTTTGTTTTTTGAGCACATTTTTAAAGGTGAAGTTGGCATGTTCTACTATTGCTTGTCCTTGGGGGTTATAGGGGATACCTGTGGAATGTTGCATATCCCAAGTGTGACAAAATTGTTGAAATTGTGAGCTGGCATAAGCTGTACCATTATCAGTCTTAATTTTTGTGGGTCACTCCATAAATGCAAAAGTTAAAATAAGATGTTTAATGACATATAGAGTTGACTCTCCAGGCAGAGTATGTGGACTAATTAAATGAGTGTTGGAGTCAACTGATACATGTACATATCTTATTTTTCCTAATTCAAGGATGTGTGTACATCTGTTTGCCATAACTTATTAGGTTCTAGTCCTCTAGGGTTAACACCTGTTGAAGGAGGGAATGTGTCTGTAAGCTAGCAATCTGGGCATTGTAGGATAATGTGTTTAGCCAGTCTCTGGGTAAGTTTAAATTGTTTAGATAAGTTTCTCCAATTTTGGTGGAAAAATTGATGCGATTGGGTGACTTGGTCAAGCAGTGATGTCATAACTTGAAGGTCTGCTTGATTATTGCCATAAGACAATGGGTCAGGCAGAGAGCTGTATACTTAAATATGTGCAATAAAATAGGATGTGTACTTTGGTCTCACCATTGCTGAAGACAGAAAAAATGAACACATATGGTAGAGTGTAGAGTGGACTTACTAAGGGCTGTAAAAGCTTTTTAGAGTCAATATAAAGGTTTTAACTTTAGCTTTCTGATTGCTAGTAAACTCAGACTGAGTTAGTGAATTATGTGGTGTCTACTAGACTTCTGCCTTTCCATGTTGATCAGAACCAAGTGTAAACAGTGTTAAAGCATTAGGTATGAGGGAGTGAACTATTTTGTCAGTAAAGCATTTACTAGACTTTTGGGAATCACAAATTGGCTGAATATCAAGGGCTGTTAGTAGAATATCACCTATAAGATGAATGACTTTGCAATCAGGAAACTCTATTCTAGTGGGGAGGAAAGTTCACTTGTAATTATTCCTTAGCTAACCCATGGTCCTATTGTAATGTCTCTCCCTTTAGAGGTTATTTTTTTATTTCAATTGGATTTGGAGAGAATCATGTTAGGTGTAAGGAGAGGTAATGGTGGCCACAATTAGAAAGAGGGTTTTCAAATTCTTACATTTTACTTAAATCTTAGTAGAGCATCATAATCTGGGATGTCACCTGTAAACAAGAAACAAGGTATTTTGCTGTGGGTGTGTCTCCTGTACAGCTAGAGAGCTGACCAGGAGGGTCCCTGAGTGGTGGCTGCTTTGCACTTGTAAAGGTGCTGCTTTTCTTCCTTTGCTGGCTTTTTGCTTGTGCCACTTCGTTCACTGCTGGACAGCTTTTGCCCGCCACTGAGGGAAGAGGAAGTGATAAGGCAGGTGACATTCTCTCCTGCTTCCCCTTTTTAGACTCTTCTGTGTATAACAGAAACAAGGCTGCTCTAATTAAAGCCCATAATATTAAAGCTGTTACTTGGAACTGTTGCCTTTGCTTCTGATGTTGTTTAAGATTTTTCCCCACTTTTCCCAGAGTTCTATGTCTAGCATTCCTTCTTCTAGGAATCATGGGCTTTGCATTAAACAGTTTGCATTAGTTGGTCCCTTAATTGAGCCTGCAAAAGTGATGCTCTGTTAGCCTTAAGCATTGTTTCAACACTTTTATTTACTGTTTCTCTTCAGTTGATAACTGCTGTATCACGATGAGACCTCAGCTTGACCAATCCTCTCTGAACTTGGAAAGCCCAAGTGGGCACCAATGACTTACTGATTACTCAGTGACTTGACTGTGCAGTCCCTCTTCACCTTCATTTTTGGGGGATCCATCACATTCCCTTCACAGTGTTCCTCAGACAAGGGCACCAACTGTGGTAGCACTCCTCATGCAGGGGTCTGACCTACAGACCCTGACCTAGCAATGAATGAATGAAGTACATTGACAAACAAATATTCTGGTATGCCAGTCCAGCTGAGTGTCTGAACTGCTTACACACTCCCGGGAGAGTACTGTAAACACTTGTGACTTTGACTTTGATCAGTCAGTGAAACTCGCATTTATTATGTAAAGATTAATTGACAAAGATCCTTAGTAAACACTACTAGAGGGTAATTGATACTGGGGATGTCCTGAGTAGAAAGCAATTAAGGACCCATGGTACATCAAACGTTAGTTTTAAGACCACATGAGTAAACAAGCTAGCTAGATAACCTACTCTACCTTTCTTTGTACTCACTTTAAGCCATTTACTCAATGAAAGGATTAGATTGCCTTCATCCATAACCTTATCCTGAGACTTTGGTAATAACCTTCAGGCCTTCCAAGAAGTTTTGTGTACGCATCTATAACCATCCTTAAAATTTTTCCACCAGCCTGATTGAATCCCTACAAATTGATTCAGTTTGGGGGTACTATTGTAAATTGTGTGTTAATGTTTCAAATTCAATTATTCCTATCCATTATTGCTGATATAGAGAAAAATCAATGGAGTTTGGTCTATTGGCCATCTTCTTTGCTTCTTCTTGTCTTCATTCCTATCAAGGCACAGGAAGGTAGGCTCTATTTCACTTCCACTTCCTGAGATTACTGGCTGGATTCATCCTCCCCATATTTCAGAGATTCTTTATGGCTGCCACTAGGGGATCATGGAGAAGATGCAAGGAGCCCATGCAACACACTGCAGGGCAGCATCCTGGGGGCATCAAACAGGCCTTCCTTCTCCTCAGATGCCACCCAGGACATGACTTCAGTGCACTTGGGATACCTGGATCTGCATCCACAGTAAGGATGACATCTCGTCTCCCCTGGAAAGGCCACAACATTGGGAAGTCTGCTTGCCAGGTGAGGAAAGCTGAGGAAAAAGTGTTCTGTCTGTGGCCCCCAGTACTGAGGAGGGATCACTGCCCTGGGCCTTACTTCCACACCCCTGGCCTCCAACTCTGACTTTACAAAATTGTTTCTTGAGTGAGGCTGTGATCTTGCATTGTCACAGCCACCAACATGTGCTTCACAGATGATCTGGGCTTGTTTCTGGGGAGAAATCCTGGTACAGAGAAAGGAGGGGTACTAAGCAGCACCACTGTGACGGGTCAAGGTCAGGGACACATCACACCCTCCATCATCACTTTTACTCAGGCTTTCATGGTTCATTTTCTTACAGTGCTAAAATAGTTGAAACAATACACATTTTTTTTTTTTGAGACAGAGTCTCATTCTGTCCCCCAGGTTGGCAAGCAGTGGCATGATTTCCACCTACTGCAAGCTCCACCTCCCGGGTTCATGCCATTCTCCTGCCTCAGCCTCCTGAGTAGCTGGGACTACAGGCACCCACCACCATGCCAGCTAATTTTTTTTTTTTTTTTTTTTTTAGTAGAGATGTGGTTTCACCGAGTTAGCCAGGATGGTCTGGATCTCCTGACCTCATGATCCACTCGCCTTGGTCTCCAAAAGTGCTGGGATTACAGGCATGAGCCATGGTGCCCAGCCAGAAAAAAATTTTAAGTAGGTATATTGGAACTTAAATCATTATTTAAGTTCAAATATACGATGTATACCTTGTTAGCAACCATTTTTCTTTTGTTTAGACGTCACAGTTTAATTGAGAATGAATTTGTTATGGTACTGAAAATGCTGTTTTATAAAGATTAACATCTTACTTTAGCTGAGATATACTAACTCTATCAAACTTTGATATTATAGCATATTAATTAAAGAAATTTGGTCTCCTTTTTTCTCAATCTTCACAATTTTAAATAAAATCAGAACCTATTAAAGGTCAGTTAGTACTCAACCATGAGCCTGTATTGTTCAGATGTGACTTCCAGTGAAAGCCTCCGTAATATGAACAAATTTCTCAAGTATGTCCTGTTAAAAGGAGAACAGATGTTCATTGAACTTTTGCAAATAACTGTATTGTCATGAAAATGAGAACATTTTATAAGAGTTTCAGAATTCTGGAGGAATGGGCAGAGAGATGAAAGAGAAATGTGCTGATGACAACCCTCAAACTCTGTAAAATATTTAAAGAGATTTATTCTCAGTCAAATAAGAGTGACCAGTTACCCATGACAGAACCCTTCTCAGGAGATTATGAAAAACATGTACCCAAGCTGTTCTGGGAACAACCTAGTTTTATACATTTTAGGGAGACATGAGACATCAATCAAATACATGTAAGATATACATTGGTTTGGTTCCCAAAAGTGGGACAACTTAAAATGGGTGGTGGTGCATTCTGATTGGCAGTTGGTTTAAAGATTTAAGTTATCCAGAGACATGGAATCAATAGAAAGAAATATCTGGGTTACAATAAATAACAAAGGGTATAGAAACCAAAGTTTTATCATGAAGAGGAACCCAGAGAAAAGATTATAAATATTTCTTATCAGACGTAAGGTCTGTGTTGATGTTAATGATGGTTAACTTTTTCTGAATTGCAAAAGATAGGAGTGTATAATGAAGTATGTCTGATCCTTCTCCCTTTTATGACCTGAACCAACTTTGGAATACCCTTAGCCAAAAAGAGGGGTCCATTCAGATGGCTGGGGCAGATTGGGCTTAAAATTTCATTTTTGGTTTACAAATGTTCCACTTCTGTTTACAAAAGTATAATCTATTAAATTGTTATGAGTTATAGTTAACTTAATAAAAAAATTCTTAAATCCAGAGATATAGAATATTAAAGAACCAGCAGACTTCCAAATCAAAAAAAGCTGTAAAATTTTACACATTCTTTATCTGTTCATTCAGTGCAATGTAATCAATTCCCATATTGTTTAATCTTGGGTTAGCAGTGCCATGAACCCATCAGTTTGTCAACTAGAGCTCTGGATATTGTTCTTCAGTCCTGTGTTATAATCTTAAAGTTATTTAACAATTGACATCAGATTTTTATATCCAGAGGACCCATCATTGTTGTTTCCATTGGTCTTGAGGAAGTTCTTTGTTGAAGACAAACATTCTGACCTGTAGCCAACGCAGATGCAGAACCTCTTGGGAAAACATGAGATTGAAATACTACCTACCTGTACATTACAAAAGGTGTACAATGGCCATGGTTAAAACTGTAATGGAAACTCATTATATCACAGTTAAACAGGAATTTGTCTGCTTCTGTGGCATACAAAATTTAAAATAGTAACTAGAATTATGACTCATAATATTATACTAGGGCATATAATAGATAGGGAGGACATTTACAAATTTCCAGGAATTCCATACAGTTTCTGAAAAGATAACATTTTACCAATACAAATACAACCAAGAAAGTTTAAGCATCTTTTCTTATTCGTGTATTTTGTGTACTGCTCATTTCATACTGTTTGTCAAATGCTAGCATTCCATAGTAGATTGAAAATTTATAAATACACCATCTCATAATTTCTAGAGGCATATGTGTCCTCTATACTAATAAGGCAATGACTCATTATTGTAGAAAATAATGTTTTTAAAAAGATCAAAATATCTTCAGTCTCTCTGTAAAAATAAGAAGCTACAAGTATATACAGTTCAATTTATGTTTAATAATTAAAGGTTTAGCATTTTATCTCATTTATAAACATTCTAGAAATTTAATAAACATCTTTCACTTACCGTAGCTTTAAGGTAGCAAATCACTAGAAAGATTTTATAAATTATTATTAGATATGCTGTAAAACATAATTATTACTACAATAATGTTGGTCATAAAAATGACAACTTAATTAAAATCAAATATAACTTTTAAGATTTTAAATATCTAGTGAATATAATACTGGTTTGTTTGACTGGTAACAAAACAGAATAAAAATGTATGTTTTATTATTTGATAGTGAAAATTCTGAAGACATACTTGTTTTAGTGAGTCAAAATTATTAAAATAGTGCTACTCACCTAAGTTTTATCAAAATAATCTGCACTTGGAAAACATTTGGATCAGTTTCTGTATTTTCTGAGTGTTTTGTTAATATTTTACTTATAATTTCTTACTTTTTTGAAGCCAATTTAGAATAGAGCACCTTTAAATGATTTTAGAAATTGTTTGCAATGCCATCCAGAGATTTGAAAATGTCACCTATAGAAAAGATATGCAAACACACATACAGATAGATCTAAACAGATATCTTATAGCTTTAGTTCTAAAATTTTAGCCACAAATCAGGCATAAAAATTGTGATTGTAAATTTTAGGTGTTCACTTGACAGGATTAAGGGATACACACATAGCTGGTAGAGTACCATTTCTGGGTATATTTGTGAGGGTGCTTCTGGAAGTCTTTAAGGAGAGCCTCTATTGATTTAGTCACCATTCTCTTATTGGTACTGAGAGGGAGACTCCATTAAAATGAAGATTTCCTTAGTAGATGTACATTTTCTTTACAAATGGGTAAGTTCTGCTTTGTTTTCAGTTCCCTTGTGTCTGCATTTTCTTAAAATAATAGGTTCAAAATGATTTTTATACCCAAGTGGCATATTTTGTGATGGCATGTTCTGGTCTCCTATAGTCATATATTGGGGAGGCATATTCTGGTTTTCAACACTGTCTTTCATAATTTCTGTACCATCATGCATTCCACCAGCAATGAATGCAATGCTGTTTTTTCCTCCAGCAATTCATTTGTCATGGTTTAAAAACAGTTTAGCAGTTCCAACAAATATAGATGGGCCACACCATCTCGTTGTAATTTTTAGTCCCTTAATGATATATGAAGTTGAACATGTTTCTGTATGCTTGCCATCTGTGTATATTCATCGATGATGTACTGCTCAGCTCTTTACTAGTTTA
The DNA here is from genome assembly GCF_000001405.40 of Homo sapiens. Classification (NCBI taxonomy): domain Eukaryota; kingdom Metazoa; phylum Chordata; class Mammalia; order Primates; family Hominidae; genus Homo; species Homo sapiens. The sequence goes on from NC_000024.10 coordinate 9,124,293, forward strand.
ATTGGTAGTCTATTTTATTGCTGAGTGTCAATATTTCTTTGTATATTTTGAGTGAAAGTTATTATTTAGATCTGTATTTTGCAGATATTTCTTCTTGGCTGTGGCTTGTCTATTTCCTGAACTAGATTTTTCAGAGTATAAACTTTTGATATGAGAAAGTCTATAATGCTAATTATTTTTTCTGTTATGAATCGGCTTTTATGTCACATGTTAAAACTCATGACCAAACCCAAGGTTACATCCCTTTCTTTCTCTGCTTTCTTTGAGAATTTGTATAATTTTACATTTTATTTCTCAGGACTATGTTGTGGAAAAATTAATGCTAAGTTGGAAAGTTTGCAACTGTGTTCATTTTATTTCCTATGGTTACACACACACACAAAGACACACACACAAGCACATGAGAATAGGCTCCATTTCCATTTGAATTTCCAAAATGATGGCACTGAACAATCTGAACTCTGCCTTTATTTGGTGCCACAGGTAAGCCAGGAGGGGGCGAATGGTTCCCGCACCATGACAACCACAGGGGGCAGGCGATGCCACCTTTTCTGACCATGGAAACTCCCACGTGTTCAACACCGGCTGCCTTAGAGGACGAGACCTGCGTTCTACTCAGCACACACTAAGCACCATCACCTCACTGGGGGACAGATGGAAGCAGAGGTAAGTAAAAACCTTCCTCTGACTTATGAGCATCAGGGATCCAGTAGAAAGGCCTTGTGGGGAAAATGAGAAATAAAATATTCCATGGTTTTTAAGACAGTTTTCTTGTAGTAGAAGGCATACTATGAGAACAGCCTACAAAGCCCTAATTCTCTTTTTCTAACTTCTGCCTGGAAAAAAAAAATTGACGTCAGTTTTTACCTAACATTCAAACCTTATAGCACCACCTAGTTGGATTTATTTCTCCATGTGTCCATTCTGTTAGCTCTTTGTATAAACCCTCTAGTCTCCTAATACCTCTCTCTTCTTTGTTCTTTTTTTCAAAATCAGTCTCCATGCCTGATTTACACACAGAAAAAATTCTTTTTCAATAACCAGGAAAAAAAAAAAAAACCCTTGAATGAAAAATTCAGGCCTAACTGCTGCCCCCATAGGAGGAAAGATAGTCATTCTAGTTTTATGTTATTAAGATGGTTTTTCTTTTTTTTCTTTTTTTTTTTTTTTTTGAGACGGAGTCTCGCTCTATCGCCCAGGCTGGAGTGCGGTGTTGAGATCTCGGCCCACTGCAAGCTCCGCCTCCCGGGTTCACGTCATTCTCCTGCCTCAGCCTCCAGAGTAGCTGGGGCTACAGGCGCTCGCCACCACGCCCGGCTAATTTTTTGTGTTTTGTTTAGTAAAGACGGGGTTTCACCCTGTTAGCCAGGATGGTCTCAATCTCCTGACCTCGTGATCCGCCCGCCTCAGCCTCCCAAAGTGCTGGGATTACAGGCTTGAGCCACCGCGCCCGGCCAAGATAGTTTTGCTAAAGTGAGTTACATTGGCGTTTTAACAACAAAAAGATGAATTACATGGATAGTAGTCAATTGGTCTCATTATTTGGAAATCCGTAGTTTTACTAGAGCCATAGCTACAGAAGGTAGAAATGGGTGTTAGAAACACTCTTTCCATTAAGAGGTCTCACTGAAATCCAACTACTGCATAGTCTCTCCCACACCTTTAGAATACCCTGGGAGACTTATGATCCCGGTGAGTCTAGAAAATGCAGAAGGGAAAAGAGCTCTAGCCTCAGAAAAGTGAGGATGATACTTCTGTAGACTAGCCCCTCCAGATACATGGGTGAAAATTATGCTTGCGTTTATAGGCTCCACCTGTAAGGGTGGCTGTGACGCAGAGGATGTAAAGAAAGTGGAGAAGTGAGATGCCCTTTCTATCACTCTCTCCTCCCTGGGTCACTTTGAAAGAAGGAAGAAGATGGAGGAATGCCTCTGGTTTTTCCTTTCCCAGATACATAATAAACCATCTTTAGATTGCACTTTTCTCAAGTGTATACTGAAGAACTGTGATTCTCTTAATCCTGAGACTCTGAAACAAAAGAGATTTATATTCTCATGCACAAGGGCATGATTATGTTACTAGCTCCAGGATAAACAGGGCTTTACTCCTGAAAAAAAATGTAAATTTTAGTACTCTTGCAGTCTCACAAATTCACCATACACAATGTAGCAGATTCTTTTTATAAGGTATCACCCAGGGTTTTATTTTGTTTTCTCACAGCGAAAAAATTAAAAATCATGAAAACAAAGGCTATCATTTGAGTAAAAGTTTAATAAGCAAATGAAGGAAGCTCTCTGCAGTGGAGAGTGGGGCCCAAGTAGATTACCCACTATGAGGCAGGGTTGGAGGTTTGTATAAGCTCAGAAGAGAAGAAATGTGATGACTAGTTTGAAACAGCATGACTAAACTTTGCTCAGAGTTTGACCCAGAACCAGTCAGGAGCTGAAATGATTATTCATGGAGGCTATTCAGATTTTCCTGGCACCTTGGCCCAGGGCCAGTCAGGAGGTAAAGTTAAACCTTGTCCTGAGATCTTAGGCTGAGACCAATCAGAGGCTGAAGTAATGACTCGTAGAAACTCACCTCCCAGTGAAAAGCATGTTAAAAAATAGAAAGAAAAGTGCCCAGCATAACCCACTGAAGCCAACTGTGTACATGCCCACAGACAAAGAATAGACTCTTTCCTGGAAGCCTACTGTCTTTGCAAAGAACACAGGAATTTTTATGTTGAACCTTGCTCTCTCACCAGAGTACTTGCAGGCTTTTCTTAGAAACAATAAAGGTGTGTCTATGTTTGGCCTTTTTAAAAATATATATATACGAATGGGCCAATGTTTGATCCAGTTTTCTTATCGGTGCCTGCAGCTTGATTTATCAGGCTTTTTCTCTGCTTGCAGATATTTTACCAATATTCCACCATAACTGCTTAACATTTCTCTGTTATTTTCTCTCTCAGGAATGGAGACACTAACTGCTGTTAGGAAAGTGGAGTGATGGGCTGGGTGCAGTGCCTTATGCCTGTAATCCAATCACTTTGGGAGGCTGAGGAGGGTGGATCATGAGCTAAGGAGTTTGAGACCAGCATGGTCAACATGGTGAAACCCCTTCTCTACTAAAGGTACAAAAAATTAGCCAGGTGTGGTGCACACACCTATAATCTTAGCTACCCCGGAGGCAGGGGCAGGAGAATTGCTTGAACCCAGGAGGCAGAGGTTTCAGTGAGGTGAGATCATGTCATTGTACCTCCAGCATGGGTGACATGGCGAGACTTTATCTCAATTAAAAAAAAATTGGAGTGACAATATTTCTGGTTACTTTTTTCTAAAGATAAGTATTATTTAAGTTACAGAAGTTAGGGTCTCTTCTGGGGCTGGTATAAGTGTCCTCAGTAGATAAGTGAATCCACACATCACCATTTGGAGCTTGATAGCCTCTAGATGAGAAGAAATAATTCTGGTTATACCATTGAGTATAGATGGTCCAAACATTAACACCACATATACAAGGAAAAGAGGTCTTAACAAAGGAGCTAGTTAGGTCTAAAGAGAAGACTTAAATCTATTAAGAAAAGATTGTAGCCAACTGGAACAGAGTCCTCACTTTCTTTCAGTCCACTGACGATTTTAAGTAGGTCATTTAGCACTTGTATTTATTTCTTTATATTTTTACCTGACTAAAAGTGCTGATTCAGAAGCAGCATGTCTCATTGGATAGTGCATAGGCATTCTCTACTCAGGCCAAAAAGCCATCCAGAGTTTAATTATTCTGCATTATCACTGAGGCTAGGAGATTTACCAATTGGCATTAGGCTTCTGTGGCTTCTACAGTTGCCTTCCACCCTTGTTGCATCATGATGAAAATACTAATGGCTAATTTTTCAAGAAAAGTATACAGAGAAATCAAAATAGGCCACCTGGTCTTGCATGTTTCAATTTTAATTTTTACAGTATAGGATTATAGTGTCATATTTTCCTCAATTCTCTCCCTCAAAACTCCATGTGATGGCATAGAGACAAGTGATTTATTTTTGTGTGTGCAAGAGAATCTACTCCGAAAAAGGGTCTCAACTGAAAATGTCACCAGATGATGGTGTCATTTTGGTGAAATATAAAAGTAACATACCAGGATCACTATTATTATAGTACCTGTTCCCATTTAGTGCCCAGGGAGGATTAAATGTAGCCAGGGGCCACAGAGAAAGTAAAGCCCCACTTCCTAAACAGATGGTTCTAAGTTGTCATTTGTGAGGGTTCCTGCTAGATTTAGTTTATATCTTGTAAAGTTGCCCCTCCTATGTCTAAGAGGAGATGTAATATCCATACTCAGTACAGTTATTCAGCGTGTTGACTGGAATTCTGCCTGCTGGTTTGGAATAATCTTTTTGGCAGGTGGAGTTTCAGAAAATCAGAGACACAGCATGTTCTGCCCAGTATCTCTGGTAATCCTCATTACAGGGGCTATTAGTTCAGATGTTTCCAGTTCTCCTGCATACATGTAGGATGCCACCATTATAATATATTATACAAGGGTTCAGGATTCCATCTGTGGGCACATTTGGTTGGAAACAAGTATTATTTATTATCTGATAATAATGTTGGAAAGAGGCAACATTTCTGCCTATGGGTAATAATTTCTACTAGAAATACCAAAGGAAAAGTCTGGTTAGATTGTTAATGTTTTTTCATAGTCTTTCCCAAGGTTTGAGGTCACCTGTGCTTTTACTCTCCAGATCTCCACACTCTCAGCAATTACAAGATGGCATTGCCATATTTGAGATTCTCCAAGTGTGGTTCCTTTTGCCTCTAAAGCAGAGAAAGGTGTTTGCTATTATTCTATCAACTTCACCTAGCCTAAGAGTTTGAGTCTTACATTCGAGAAATACGTCTTTCTGGATGGAGTTAAAAGTGATTCCATACAAGATTCCATTCATCCCTCTCAAGTGCTTAATTGTTAAAGGTGAAACTAACAGATAGAATACTAATATATTGAGTTCATATAATTAAAGCGTCTGTTTTAAATCTGATAAAATTTTTCAAGGCAAACCTAGAAGTTTGTCTTCTTGTATAGATGGGCAATGGCTAATATTGTAGGGACCTTGGGGTGCGTGTCAGTGCTACATCTAACAGTAAATGTTAGTAAACTTGACAGTAACAAAATCTTCATGTTTATTTTTTATTTGTCACTACTATTTTTGCTATAATAATAATGATTAAGTAAAATATTATGGTAATTGAGACTCTCTGTTTGATACTTCACTCAGAAGGTGCTTCAGTTTATAACCCCACTGCAAGAGGTAAAGTAAGAAACGTAATTTCTATAAGTATTGTGTATTAGATAATTGTATCTGATTTTTTATTGTAATACTTCTAGACTGTCAGGGACTGCTTTCACTGTTTTCCAGGCTTTCACTCGAGTGAAATAAATATGAGTCAATTTCCACCATCTTCACAGCTGAGGGAGTAAGGAGAAGAATAGTATTAGGTCCCTCCCAACTGGGGTGTAGGGACAGGAGAGAAAGAGGAGGAGCCTACCCCAGTACCAACTCTTCTGGGTTGAATAGAGGGGGATTTGGATTTTTGGGGTTGTACTTCTGAAGATGTTTTCATTCCTCTTGAAAGTGGGGTCAGGGAGTTTATATGTTTAAAAAATTCAGAAGTCACTCATCTACTAAAATATCAATGTTAAGAGAAGGCCATACATAATAAATTTAAAGTAGTTCAAAGCCAGCTTTGTAGGGATGTACTTCACTGTCACTAAGGCCATGAAAAAGAGTAATTGAAAAGAGATGAGTTTCTTGAGGAAGCTTCCTGAGGAATCTCTTGATGATATAATTTATTTTCTTCCCCTTTTCTGAAGACTGTGGTCTCCAGGCACAATGAAGATTATATTCTATGCCCAGAGTTCTTGAAACTCGCTGGGTAATGGTGGCTTTAAATGAGGAGCCATTGTTGTTTTGGAGGCACTGAGGGAGGCCAGAGCAAAGAATTATTTTTTCAAATATTTCTTTTACTACCTCAGAGGATTTTTCTGTTCTACATAAAAATGCCTCCATACAATTAGGGATACTGTCTACCTATACCAGCAGATACTGGGTTTTCTGTATTTTGGGTGTATGGGTAAAGTCTATATGCCAACCTTCCCCTAGGATTCTTTCCATTTTTTTGAGCTTGAGGGAGGAGAAGCTATCTGTTGGGGGGATTATTTTTAAGTTATATTTCACATGCATTTACAAACTGTTTGACTATTTTCAGTAGATTTTTACTGGAGAACATTCTCTGGATCAGTTGATAAGTTATGTTCTTTGTAAAGTGAAAAGTTTGCTGAAGGACATTAAGAACTTTCCACTGACTGGACGCTGACAAGTGGGGTTTTCTGCCTTTCATTTGTAACCATACAACAGTCTGAAAAATTGATTCTCCAGAAGTAGCCCATTCTATCTTTGCAGGGAGATACTGAGGCTTTATTTCTTCTATAATACTTTCCCAAATAAGAAAGGCTTTAAATATTCTGGGAACTTGGGCTCTTTTTGCTACTGACTTGGCAACCTATTTTTTTGCTTTTGGCTATTTTATTAATCATTTTCTGGTGTCCTCTGTAATATATTACTGCTACTTCCCAGAAAGAAAGGAGAAAAAAGAAAAACTGAGGACAATAATCTATTTCCTGGTGATATTTAATGTAAGACCCATTAGCAGTCAGGAAATGTCTTTTTTTTTTTTCTAAATAGTGGCATGGGCATAGAGAGCCAGAAGAAGCATACCTAGAATCAGTATGTGTCCACTGCCTTTTTCTCTAAATGGTTAAAAGACAATTAACATAGCTAATAAGTCTTGTGCTTTGTCATAGAGGCATGCTGTCAAGTATATAAATCAGGGTGAATATTGCACACACTGCCTTAGAGGTATTTGTTTTACAAAATAACTTTTCCCTCTAATGAAAGTTCAGACTATTTTTCTAAAGAAATTAGTTTTAGGTTCTTTCTGGCTGCACAGATTTTCACTACTACCTGTTCACAGTCATGTTCAGGTTCTTCAGGTTACTTCTTAAAGGAAAGGGAATAGGTTATGGGTTTTTTAATGGAACTGCAGATTCCTTAGAAGCAAAGTTTGATCTTTGACAAGGTGATTATCTGTTATCCAGAGACTTCCTTTAGAGGACACCCTACATTACGTGGGGTGTAATCAGTTAGAATATTCCCCATGCTCAACTTACTGGCTTGCAGTACATGCAAGACCACCACTACAACTGCTTGGAGGCAACTTGTCTATGCTTTAGCCACCCAGTCAAGCTCTATGTTTATGTAACTTAGTGGTTGCTGGGCCAAATCTCAAGCTTGAGTTAAAACTCCTAAGCTATCCCTTTCTTTTATAAGACATAAAGATGCAATGACTTATTTGTGGGTACACTGAGGGCCAGTGCTTTTTGTCAGGTTTGTTTGATCTGGTTAAGGTATTTGAGTTTTAGTTTCCTATGTCAGGAAGAAAGCCAAAGCTGCTTGAGATTCTTTTATAAGATAATATAAAGAAATAGCTGTTTCACCAAACCTTGGTATCCATCATCCTCAAAAACTTATAATGTCCAGTGATCCTTTTAGATGTTTGAGTGTTTTGGGAATGGGAAAGAAGGAGATGGGATTAATTCTCTCCTTTACTAATGTTTTGGGTTTTCAACAGCCTTATTAATGAGACAGAGGTTCTGATCTAGCCTCCATTCTTCATTGTGTTTCTGTACCTCTAATATTTGAGTGTTGTTAAGACGTTGCAGAGTTCAAGGAAGTATTTGGCCTTTAGGTTATCTCTGATGGCAGCCATTATCTACCTTTTGTCTATAAAAGATATTGCCTAATGCTAGGGTAAAAAATAAAATAAAACTCTTAAGCTAATCTGGACAAGTATAGCAGTTGTAGCTCTGCAAATATTTCCTTGATGTGGCCAGACCTATGGATTAACATTGGTTTTAACTAAGGGGAGACAAAGCTTTGTCCTGAAGCCATTAGAATGATGGTGTCCATATGAGCTAAAATTACCTAGTAGAAGAGTGAAACTTTCAAAAATATTTAAATTGGGATATTTAAATACCAGGTCTCCACAACTACAACTGAAGGGTTTAGAAAATATCCTCTCTATTTCTACCTCTTAAAAAACTGTATACAGTCTATACTCCCCTGAAGTTTATTTTTTAACATGAGAACTTCTTTGACTCTGAGACTCTGGAGAAAAAAAGTGGCTTATATCATTTTGCACAAAGACTTGGACATTTTATAAACAAGAGTTCTGAACTTCTTGGAAAAAACATAATTTCAATGGTATCCAATGACAACATCTTCACTTGCTATTCCAGACAACTGAGATCTTTGTAAGCTTTGTAAAATGAACCTGATTCCATTACAAGCAAGTCTACAAAAGGCAGATTTATAAACTTTTGAAGAATTCTCAAATGCAACTTTTGGGTGCTCTATCTGCCTCCCTTATAAAAGACCCCCAGCACCCATATTATCAGTTTCTTCAGTTGTGTCACCCAAAAAGTTTACAACTTCAGTGGGGCAGAAAATGCTCAATGAACTTCATGCTACTAACATTCAAATTTTTTTTCTCACAAAAGGACATTAAATAAATTAAATAAAAAAGACTTAAGGAAGTTATCTGATGACATTAATAAGTGTATGAGGCTTCTAAAAATCAACCCAAGTGTTTCATCTTATGTGTAGTAGTGCTACACTACTTTAAAGCTATATCCTAACTTTTGTCAAGAAACAGGCAGTGCTAAAGGCAGTAGAGAGATTTGGAAATGAACAAGAAGTATTCTGCAACCAGTCAAATTTAAAAAAAAGTCAAGATTAAACAAAATAGTAAAATAGAAACTGTGACCCCATTTCCAATTGGAAGAGAAACAATGATTTTTGAAAATCTGAATTGGAGCCCTAGTGGTGCTAAGGTAAATGAAAAAAAAAAAAAAAACACTTTTTAATGTGCATATTAAAAGACTTGCAAAATACCAGAAATAAACATTTTAATTACTCTAAAACGTTCTTGTTGAATCAGAAACAAGATAAAAATTTATCATCCTTTTTGGAAAGGTTGAGAAAACTTTAGTGAAACACATCTTTTTATTTCTCTAATTCAACTGAGACACAGATAATCTTAAAAGACAAAGTTATTTATCAAGCAGCTGTTAATTTTAGAGGAAAACTACAAAGTAGTCTGTAGAATCAGAGAGTACAATGGAAAACCTTCTTGGATTTACTTCCTCCGTATGCCACAACGAGAAACAGGAGAAAGAGGCCAGGAAAATGAGTAGAGGCACAAGAGAACAAAAGAGTATTTTATTCTCTTTGAAGCAATTGTGAATGGGAGTTCACTCATGATTTGGCTCTCTGTTTGTCTGTTGTTGGTGTATAAGAATGCTTGTGATTTTTGTACATTGATTTTGTATCCTGAGACTTTGCTGAAGTTGCTTATCAGCTTAAGGAGATTTGGGGCTGAGAAAATGGGGTTTTCTAGATATACAGTCATGTCCTCTGCAAACAGGGACAATTTGACTTCCTCTTTTCCTAATTGAATACCATTTATTTCCTTCTCCTGCCTAATTGCCCTGGCCAGAACTTCCAACACTATGTTGAATAGGAGTGGTGAGAGAGGACATCCCTGTCTTGTGCCAGTTTTCAAAGGGAATGCTTCCAGTTTTTGCCCGTTCAGTATGATATTGGCTGTGGGTTTGTCATAGGTAGCTCTTATTATTTTGAAATACGTCCCATCAATACCTAATTTATTGAGAGTTTTTAGCATGAAGGGTTGTTGAATTTTTTCAAAGCCTTTTTCTGCATCTATTGAGATAATCATGTGGTTTTTGTCTTTGGCTCTGTTTATATGCTGGATTACATTTATTGATGTATTAAAGATTTAAACGTTAGACCTAAAACCATAAAAACCCTAGAAGAAAACCTAGGCATTACCATTCAGGACATAGGCATGGGCAAGGACTTCATGTCCAAAACACCAAAAGCAATGGCAACAAAAGACAAAATTGACAAATGGGATCTAATTAAACTAAAGAGCTTCTGCACAGCAAAAGAAACTACCATCAGAGTGAACAGGCAACCTACAGAATGGGAGAAAATTTTCGCAACCTACTCATCTGACAAAGGGCTAATATCCAGAATCTACAATGAACTCAAACAAATTTACAAGAAAAAACAAACAACCCCATCAAAAAGTGGGCGAAGGACATGAAGAGACACTTCTCAAAAGAAGACATTTATGCAGCCAAAAAACACATGAAAAAATGCTCATCATCACTGGCCATCAGAGAAATGCAAATCAAAACCACAATGAGATACCATCTCACACCAGTTAGAATGGCAATCATTAAAAAGTCAGGAAACAACGGGTGCTGGAGAGGATGTGGAGAAATAGGAACACTTTTACACTGTTGGTGGGACTGTAAAGTAGTTCAACCATTGTGGAAGTCAGTGTGGCGATTCCTCAGGGATCTAGAACTAGAAATACCATTTGACCCAGCCATCCCATTACTGGGTATATACCCAAAGGACTATAAATCATGCTGCTATAAAGACACATGCACACGTATGTTTATTGCGGCATTATTCACAATAGCAAAGACTTGGAACCAACCCAAATGTCCAACAATGATAGACTGGATTAAGAAAATGTGGCACATATACACCATGGAGTACTATGCAGCCATAAAAAATGATGAGTTTGTGTCCTTTGTAGGGACATGGATGAAACTGGAAATCATCATTCTCAGTAAACTATCGCAAGAACAAAAAACCAAACACCACATATTCTCACTCATAGGTGGGAATTGAACAATGAGATCACATGGACACAGGAAGGGGAATATCACACTCTGGGGACTGTGGTGGGATGGGGGGAGGGGGGAGGGATGGCAATGGGGGATATACCTAATGCTAGATGACGAGTTAGTGGGTGCAGCGCACCAGCATGGCACGTGTATACATATGTAACTAACCTGCACAATGTGCACATGTACCCTAAAACTTAAAGTATAATAAAAAAAAAGAAAAAAAAAGAACAAAAGAGGCATTAGTGGACACTTTATAGGACAGTTGATCTATAATCCCTAAATACACTTGCAAATTACTACCAGTGTGGCAAGCTGGAACACTTGACAAAGGCTTGTCCAGGCATTTGGAAGAAGCTGTCTTAACCCTGTCCAGCTTTTGATGGAGACCACTGAAAGACTCCCTTTGTTTAGAGACATAGGTCACCATATCCAGGACCAGTCTTCAGATGATCAGGCAGAACTCATCTGTGCTGGTTCTCAATTTTTGAGCTTCTATGGCTCTAACTACCATTGTTATTTAGGAGTCCCAAGTAATTTGGGTGGCTAGAGGAAAAAAAAAAAGCAAACTTTCTTCTAAACGTTGCAATGAATCATTTTGTTCTCCTCTCCAATCCAGGCCTTACTTATTCATACAGTGAAGGAATTTAGCTGATTTGCTCTAGATAAACAGCAAAGGAAAGTTTCCCATAAAATCCCAGCTAATGGGTCAGTGCCTTATTTTCAAAAACACATAAAACCAGTTTTGAAAAATAAGCTGCAGGCACCAATAAAAATTAGTACATGGAGTTATTATTGCAGATAAGCCCATGGCTCCAAAGGTAAGAGAATCTTTCACCCACTTAAATAAAAACTTGCAGAAACTCTGGCTCACACGTCTAAGGGAACTAGGCCTGACATAAAAATGACTTTGACTTTTGCATAATCAATGGGCTCCATAAAAAGAATTTCTTCTGTTTGTGGACATTAACACAGTGGGATCCAGTGGTTTCCGGGCAGTCACTATTTTGTTGTTGTTGTTGTTGTTGTTGTTTGCTTGTTTGTTTGTTTGTTTCTTAATTCTGATTTGTCTTCTATTAAGTATTTCGTCCCTTGATTTGTGCTGCTTTAAAGTTGTGGGCCAAACTTTCATTTTAGCTGCGTATAGATTTTATGACAAGCTGAACAGCCTCCAGTAATCATCACATCAGCTCTGATTGCTACTGGACCAACATTTTGGGGAAAGGTTTCTGATTGATCTCAAGCCAAATTCCCAAGCCAAGGTGAATCACACATTCTCCAAGACAGCCTGCAGAATAAGCACATTCCTTCCCCTTCTTAGTTTATAAAGACCCTGGAATAAGAGGTGAATAAGCCCCTCTCATAATCTGTGTTTATCTTAAAGCTATGCTTGTTTATTAAGCCCTGATAACTGCATTAGTAACCTTGTCCTTAAAAGGCCTCACCCCCAGTACTTTGGTATCCTAAGGCAAGTAGTTCACTTAAGGTCAGGAGTTCAAGACCAGGCTGGGCAACATGGTGAAACCCCATCTGTACTAAAAATACAAAAATTATCTGGGTGGGAGCCTGTAGTCTCAGCTACTTGGGAGGCAGAGGCAGGAAAATTAATTGAGCCCAGGAGGCAGAGGTTGCAATGAGCCAAGATTCTACCATTGTACTCCAGCCTCGGTGACAGAGCAAGACTCCATCTCAAAACACACACACACACACACAGACACACACACACCCCTCCATAGGTGAATAATCTGATGAGAAAAATGGAAAACAAAAAATTGTATAACTAGTATATTTTCTGTTGGTTTGTTTGGTTATGTATACATTATTTTTATTAAAAGATCTCTAATTCATTAGCTTAAGAAAAGATAGCCACTTGACCAAAATATTATAAAAAGGAAAAATAAAGGCTGTGGTAGCTTTCAGTTCGTGTGACTTTAACTTTTTAAAAATAAAGCACCCTCTGCCAGGCATGGTGGCTCATACCTGTAATCACAGAACTTCAGGAGGCCAAGGCAGGTGGATCACGAGGTCAGGAGTTCAAGTCCAGACTGGCCAATGTGGTGAAATCCTGTGTCTCCTAAAAATACAAAAATTAGCCAGGCATGGTGGTTGGCACCTGTAATTCTAGCTACTTGGGAGGCTGAGGCAGTGCAATGAGCCAAGATCATGCCACTGCACTCCAGCCTGGCAACACAGCGAGGCTCTGTTTGAAAAAAAAAAAAGCAGCCTCCAAGATTATTGATAAAATGCAAATGTCTTCCAGATGTTAATATGTGGTCTATATTATGCAGGTAAAAAATGTAAGTTTCCTAATTGTTTGAAGGATGTAAACTACTTCTTTGTCCTTTGAAAACCATAGACTTGCCTGCTTCACTATTGGTATAGCCTGGGGACATATAAAAGTAATCACACCTCTAAGTATGCTGAGAGAGTCAGCCTTTATCTGCACCTAGCACACAATTAAAACAACTTACCATGTTTTACATTCAAGTGAAAAATTACAAAATGTTACCATTATAACATGTGATTGAGACTATTAAAATTAAATTTTCATGTAAGGTGTATAAGAAAAGTAAACTATGTTTTTAGTAAAATTTATAAAATGGCATGTAAATGCTCATTTGTCTTAGAGATAAAGACTTCTCAAATCAAATCACATAAAGCTAAAGATTTAAGCAGATGGAAGAACAACTGTACATGTTAATCTTGCAAAAGAATATGCTGTCTGAACACATTAAATAAAAAGGGATATATTATATGGTTACTCTATAAATGAAGCATTGAAATAAAAGTGCAGCACGGTTTTCTTGAGATGCTAATCTGCTCTTTAGCAAAATTTGTAAAGAGTTGTCAAAGGGTTTTTAAAAGTTTATGGAAACCTCACCTGTTGTTAAACTGATTAAGATAAAATTGTCTATAAAGTTTAATTTAAAAATAGCAGTAAATTGGCCTGGCACAGTGGCTCACGCCTGTAATCCCAGCACTTTGGGAGCCTGAGGCAGGCAGATCATGAGGTCAAGAGATGGAGGCTGATGAAGGAGAATGGCCTGAACCTGGGAGGTGGAGCTTGCAGTGAGCTGAGATTTTGCCACTCCAGGCTGGGCGATAGAGTGAGCCTCTATCTCAAACAAACAAAGGAAAAAAAAGAATAGCGGTAAATTTAATAGTGGACTAATGCAACAGTAAAATCTGTTTCCACTCTAGAATGAGATTTTCATGTAATATAAAGGCTAATAACAGTAGGTTTTTGTTACTTCAAATTTTTTAATTTATTTTGGCAAAACAAATGACTTATGATAATCTTTATATTTTATAACAGTAAATGTTTTAAATTTCGTACATATTCGGCAGGCATTTCAAAAACAAATTTTTGTTACAGAGTTGTCCTTTCTGAGTCCTCGATTTTAAATGCTACAGAGGGCTCCTGTTTCAAACACATCTTTAACATGTATTTTTAAAAGTATTTAACAACCTTATGCATTTAAGTTGTTTAAATACATGTGGTTACCAAGTTAATTTTAATTTTCTTCAGGTTACATTTTAGTAAATAATATTAACATAAGTTTTGTAGCCATATGGGGTGTCAAAGTTCTAAGGTCTAAAAAGGCTATCAAGCTTAATCAAAATTATTATGTTTAGCCATTGTAAACCATAAAAATAGCCATTTTTTGTCAACGAGTGTCTGTAACCACTTTAGGCATTCTGTCATTTACAGACAATTGTCTTGTTTTAATCCTTTTCTAAAAATGGTTTATAATTAGCTGTAGGACTTTAACAGCTGCTCTCAAATGCAGGTTTATAATTAGATATTAACAAAACTCATGAAAAGCTTAAGAAAATGGACTAAAAACACTGAAGCCATTTTTTCAACATTGACTTCAAATATTTCTGTGTATTTTGTTTTTCAGGGTTAAGGGAACTTTTTTGTGCAGGCAACAGTGTTCAACAACTGATTAAAGTATACTATTGTAAAAAATATAAAAATATTTTATTTTTCCCTCCCTGTTTTCTCTAACACTTGGTAACTAATTTTTGCTTTTCTTAACTTACAGCAATATAGTTGTTTGCATCAGTGCAAAAAAAATTTGTTTTAACAAAACAAAACTGGAAAAAAACTGGTTATTTTACTGAGGCTTTGACTGAAAGGATATGTTTCTCTTTAAAGAATAAAGCTTGAGGCCGGGCATGGTGGCTCACACCTGTAATCCCAGCACTTTGGGATGCCAAGGTGGGGGTGGATTGCCTGAGGTCAGTAGTTCAAGACCAGCCTGACCAACATGGTGAAACCCCATCTCTACTAAAAATACAAAAAAAAAAAAAAAATTAGCCTGGCGTGGTGGTGAGCACATGTAACCCCGTCTACTTGGGAGGCTGAGGCAGGAGAATCACTTGAACCTGAGAGGCAGAGGTTGCAGTGAGCTGAAATCACACCATTGCATTCCAGCCTAGGTGACAAGAGCAAGACTTCCTCTGAAAAAAAAAAAAAAGAATAAAGCTTGACTTCAATAAACAACATAAGTCCCTTAAGGAAAAAAAATGGCTTTAAACCTTGTCTACACAGTTCCCATTCAGGGTTCTGAACCTGTGGTAAGTAGAGAATATCACTTTCTCAAAAGCCTCAAAACACCCCATGCTTTTGGTAACTCAATAAGAGAGGAGTTTACCCAGCTTAGGTATTTAAGGGTACAAGCTCATGGCTGGTCTCAGCGTTAAAACTTCCTGAGATTCCTTGCAGAACGGAGTTCCATGAAAGCCAACTGAAAAAAAAATGTAAAGGTAATTATTCTTGGCTTCACTTTATAAAACTAGGCCAAGTGGAAGACTGACATCTATTTTCCAAACAATTTAGTTCTATCATGATTTTTTTTTACAAAAATATGAACTGAAGAGAAATAATGTGTTTCAAAACTTATTGTACTTCTGTCATCAATGCATAGTCTCATAAGTTCTCATAAGTTGTTTTTAAGTTGTTGCCTACATTTTAAACTAACCCTGCTGAATCCCATGAGCCAATTAATAATCTTTGACTTTAGATCAAAGTAAACAGAAAGTAATGTGTAATTAAAAAATTTGTTACAATATTATATATAATTCTTGGCAAAAATCCTACAAATCCTGCCAGTTGATGAAAATAAATATGGTTCCCATAATACAGAGGCTTGTTTGTATTTTTTTAATTAAAGCTGAATTCCATATACCTAAATCTTAGCAGGCATAACTGTAGCCATCAGTTATAAGGGTGTGTCACCAGGCTTGGGACACTTAAGCTGTCCTTAGCCAACTTGTCTTGTTTCAATACATGTCCTTTAGTAACTCTATTTTTTTTTTCCTTGAGGCTGTCAACTCCAAATAGTAATAATGCAAGTAAGACCACACATAAAATCACCTATCTTCTGAGGACTCTGAAACAATGTCTGAAATAAATTCTAACTGCTGTTTTTTACAAACACCCCTCTGCAGCAGAGAGTAGCCGGAAAGATCAACACTTAATCTCCCTAAAGCAGTTAGGTTCTTTATTTCTGAGGGGAGACTGAGAAAAGTTAGCTAGCTTCCCTTAGGTAAAAAGCAAGGCAAGGGTTTCCAGAGAGCCCCAAGCAGATATGTCAGTGCCTCAACCAAACAGAACACAAAAATCAGCCTTAAAAGAAATTAAGCTGAAACCACTGATACAGGACCTAACACAGTGGCTACTGCCTGAACATATTCCTGCAGCTACACAGACAGAAGAACCTCCAGTCCATTCTGGGAAAAAAAAAAAAACTTGCACAAAACTCAGGCTTACACAGACAAAAGAAAGAGGTGTGGCATAGAATATTTTTGTCTTTTGTATACTCAGTGCCCCACACCCACAACAAGAAAATTTTATTCTCCTTTCACAGGCATAAATTCAGCAAGATTCAGTGGGTTCTCACTGGCTGTATTGGTTGTTATTGTTCAGACAGTAAGTCCAGCTTCTAAGAATTATCATTTAAGCTCCTGACTGATCCTGGGCCAAACTCACAAGCCAGTCTTTCATTTGCATTTTTAAGTCTTCTTGGGCTATCCTGAGCAGTCTCTATGAATTATCACTTCAGCCTCCGATTGGTCCCAGACCAAGGTCTTAGGCTATGCTTTCTTATTGGTCCAAGACCAAGGCTAAGACACATTGTATAAGATAGCTGACAAACTAAGAACATCCCTTTCTCTTTTCAGTTTATAAAAATTTTAAACACTTGCCTCATAGTTTGCAACTCATGTGGGCCCATATTTCTGATGGTGAAATGGTCTCTTCTTTTGCATATTGAAGTTTTCCTCAAACTTTACCCATGTGTTCATGCTCCTTAATCTTCTAAATTGTGTGTCTGTGTAGGTGTGTGTGTGTGTGTATATATGTGTGTGTGCATATACATATATATATACACACACACATATGCTATGTGTATTTATACATATATCTATATACACAAACCAGACTGTATATATACACTTACATATACTGAGTAGTACATATGTGTATGTGTTGCTCTGAGCAATATCTAAAACAAAAAAGAATTGTTACATCTTGTTGCACTGGTAAAACTAGTACATTATCCGAACATGTGACCTGCTTTGTAGCTTTTTTTTTTTTTAATCAGGACTGCCTGAAAAATAAACCTCTTTCTTAAGATTAACTGGTGCTCAATTGAGTCAGAAAATACAGAGGTGTGTTTTACTCACCCTCTCTCAGCCTTTCCATAAAGATTGAGGGATTCTCATCAAGTTTTAATCTATTATGTTTATCTTAGAGTAATTAAGAGGTTTGGTCCCAGTCCTAGCTGCTGGCATCACTATACTACTAACAGACCGCAACCTCAACACCACCTTCTTCGTTGGCACTGTTCTTTTACTAGCGTTCCTGTACATGCATTCTAAATTTTTATTCTTTTCCACTCCTCTATCAAATGACGGGGATTCCAATTATGTTTTCAAAGAGCACTGTCTTTTTTCCTGTTGGGAATAAAGATTATGCTATCTGTTCACCTTAGTTTTGTCTTTCAGCATCCCTTTTTCTAGATTTATTTCCCTTTATACTTTTAGGCTGGGTATAGTAAATATGTTGTTCATCTTCAAATGCTTTTGCTGCTAGTAAAGCTGCCAAATTTTCTGCAGCTTTGGTTTAGGATTAACATAGCATGTCTCCACATACAATGAAATACCTGTGTTAGATTTTGGAATGCCTCTATATATCTATTAGAGTCATCAGAGAACTCGACTAGATTTACATTTATTTTTCTAAGGCCCTGCAATGAAAAGAGAACTTGAAATCTAGTAGTACCACGTTTTTTTGGCATTTTCTACAGGGCCCACATTGAAATTGATGGTTTACAGGGTGGAACAGGGAGAGAAACTGATGACATGGGCATTAGAAAGCCTATAAAAGAGGTGCGGGTAGGGCATTTAGAAGTAGCATTTAAGGGTTTACCAAGGGTTTGTGTCTCTGACTTTGGGGCATTATCTTCTGTATGCCTGCTTTATATGACAGCCAAAGCTCAGAGACAGTTTTACAATGCTTACAAAGATCTGGGTTATCTACCAAGGCAACGGAAGATTGTACATTGGAAACACTGTACATTTCTAGGCTGCATCTCTGTTTAAAGAAGTTTTACCAATGACACCTACTAAGTTTCTCTCTCATTGTCCCCTGCAGGTGTGAAAACACTACTTGCTGTTAGGGAGATTGAGGATTGATCTTTCTAGCTACTTTTTGCTAGGAAGGGCATCTTGTAAGGAAATACAACAGCTGGAGTTCACACTGAGGTTAGGGTAAGGTTTTTCAAAACCACGGTGTTTACATAAGTGGTTTCGTTTGCAGTACAATTTGTTTGATTGCCTCTATGTGAGATGAAACAATCTCGGTTATCAAAATATAAAGTGTTAAAATGAGACGAGGTGAGGAAAAGGATAGCTTAAAAATTCTGAGGCTGCTGACATGCCCTTATAACTAATAGCTATAGATATGCTTAACAAGTTTTGGGTGCATGGGGCTTGGCTTGGCTTAGCTTCCTTGGTCTTATCCCCCAAAACACAAAACCACCTCAATTATGAGTCCACTATATACTCTCATTACCTGGCAAGATTTGTAGAGTAATTGCCCACAACAAATATATTGTTAACATATTTTTCAATATTAATCTTTTTATATTTTCAACCTAGCTGCAGCTAGAGATTTCTGGCTGGCTCACAGGAATCAACAGGGATAGCCTGAAATATAGGCAAATATTAAAGACAACTAATGAGATGAGAATATAATGGCAAACATATGATAAGATTTGAAACATGTAGGCTAGTTGAGGTAGCTCACACCTGTAATCCCAGCACTTCAAGATCAAGATCAGCCTGACCAACACGTAGAAACACCGTCTCTACTAAAAATACAAAATTATCCAGGCATGGTGTCACATGCCTGTAATCGCAGCTACTTGGGAGGCTGAGTCATGAGAATCATGTGAACTCAAGAGGCAGAGGTTGTGGTGAGCCGAGATAGTGCCATTGGCCCTCCACTCTGGTAAACAAGAGTGAAACTTCATCACAAAAAAAAAGAAAAAAGAAAAGATTTAAACATAATTTTTCTCTCTTCATTTCTTATTACTGTAAATAAACAAAGTATGTTAGGCCTGAGTTGAAAATAGTAAAATGAACTATAATTTTATATTTAACCTAAGTATTTGCATAAAGTGCAGCAAAAATAATTATTTTTAAATAGTCTCTCTAAATTGGCTTTTACGAAACTGTTCTTCAGGAGGAACCTCTGATAAGAACTCTTAAAGCCAAGAAGAACTATGGGTTTTACTTTCAAATACCTATGAGTTGGGCAAACTTTACTCTTCTTGAGGTCCAAAAACATGAAAATCCTGGGCCTGTTAGCAAGTGACATTCTTTACTCACCACAAGTCTGCAATATTTTGTGGGTTTTTAATACATATCAGGACGTAATAAATGCACACTTTATCTGTCATATAAATGAAGTTCTTCTCTCTATCTTTCCCTAGATAGCTTTTCAGATATTGAGCAGCAGGGATAGAAACTGTCTTTTGAGATTATTATTATTTTTGAGATGGAGTCATGCTCTGTCTGCCAGGCTGGAGTGCAGTGGTGCAAACTGGGCTCACTGCAACTCCTGCCTCCTGGGTTCAAGTGATTCTCCTGCCTCAGCCTCCTGAATAACTGGGACTACAGGTACATACTACCATGCCCAGCTATTTTTTTGTGTGTGTGTATTTTTAGTAGACATGGGTTTTCACCATGTTAGCCAGGATGGTCTCAATCTCCAGCCCTTGTGATCTGCCCGCCTTGGCTTCCCAAAGTGTTGGGGTTACAGGCATGAACCACTGCACCTGGCCTAAGAAGATTATTTTTAAGGCAGGTTTCAAAAGTATTAAGAATCTGTTTGACTCTTTTCAGTAGTTTTTTTTCTTGTTGTTTTATAAGTCAAAACTTGGTGGAGGACATTAAAAACATTTCACTGACTGAAGGCTCATAATGCAATTATAAATATTTAGAGTGCTGAAAAATGTATCTTTCAAAAGTGGTCCATTCTATCTTTGCATGGGAATACTGAGGCTTTATTTCTTTAATGAAGCTTTCTAAGGCAAGAGAGACTTCCAGTATATTGCAAAATTGTCTGTTTTTTTTGTTGTTGTTGTTGTTATTTGTTTGCTTGGCTCTCTGGTTTCTCAATCTATTTTTCTTGGCTGCTTTATCAGTCCCCTACTTGTGTCCTCTACAATGTAGTACTACTACTTTCCACGAAAGAAAAAGAGGAGAAAAATCTATGTATATCCTGATGATACTTAATGAGTGACTGTCAGAAAATGTATTTCTTTCCACAAAGTGGCATGGTCATAGATGATCAGAAAAGCATATTTAAAATGAGTATAAATATTATAAACATTTCTTTTTTATTTTTTGCTTCATTTGAGTGTTCTCACAAGGGCAAGTAACTCAGTGATTTGAACTCTGGTGCCTGGTAAGAGAGGCATATTCTCAGTAATATAATTCAAAGGGACTACTGCATACCCTAACTTTGGTGTTTCTTGTTTTAGGAAAGAGCTCCATTTCTACATTTACTAAGGGAGTTGCTTTGAGGTCCTCTCTGGCTGTGTAAGTTTTTACTACTCTCTGTTAACAATCATGCTGAGACCAGCTCAGTTGGTGAGACCCTAACCCAGTGGCAGTAGTGGAATTAAACACACACACAGAAATAAAGAGGTGTGAAGTGGGAAATCAGAGGCCTCACAGCCTTCAGAGCTGAGAGCCTCAAACAGATATTTACTCACATATTTATTAACAGCAAGCCAGTCATTAGCATTGTTTCTATAGATATCAAATTAACTAAAAGTATCCCTTATGGGTAATGAAAGGATGGGCCAAATTAAAGGAATAGGTTGAGCTAGTTAACTGCAGCAGGATCATGTCCTTAAGGTACAGATCATGAATGCTATTGTTTGTGTTTAAGAATGCCTTTAAGTGGTTTTCTGCACTGGGCAGGCAAGGTGTTCCTTGCCCTCATTCCCATAAACCCATAACCTTCCAGTGTTGGCTTTATGGCCATCATGCACATGTCAGTGCTGGAGAGATTTTGTTTATGGCCAGTTTTGGGTCCAGTTTATGGCCAGATTTGTGGGGGGCTTGTTCTCAACATGCTCCCTTCTTTAATTTTCAAATTGATAAAAACAAAGGCAGCTTTGTCATGGTGAGCTACTTCTTGCAGGAGTCAGGAATCCACATCTGCAGACTATACAAACAAAAACAACACAGATTAAAAGCACAACCATCACTGAAATCACAGAGCTTCCAAGTGTTTTGATCCATTTTAATGGGTTACCAGCTGCTAATCTGTCTGCAGCTCCTTTAAGCACTCCAGTTCCTGGCATTAAGGTCGGGTGTGCCTGGGATGCTTTAAATATTTGTTCTTTTAATTTTGCAATATATGCTTTTTCATTCTTTCACAGATTTTGATCTTATTAAGAGGTGTTAATGGTTTCCACAAATCCTTATGTTTAGCTCCTACAGCAGGCCATATCATTTGAGGTTGAGGTGTAACTATACCGCCACGGTTCCAGATAATAGGAACTCTTGCCATACTTCTTATCATTTCTACCATCCTAACATTTTGTTCAGAGAAGCTGAACATAATGTGGCCATGGCATGCAGACTGAGAGGTTCAATTCAAGAGAAACATCCCCTTAGGGGATCAATCAATAATGATTCCGTAGGAATCATTGTGCAGCACCTCTGCCTGTTCTGCAAAGAAATTTTCCTAAACAATTACATTCATTATTTCTGTCCAGGTTCTATTTTGTATACAAATAGGTTTTTGAGGGCAATATGCCTCAATTATAGGAGAAGATTTATTATGTAAAATACTGAGATCAGAAGGCATGTGTAACTGTGGCATAAAGTGACTATATCCAGGCATTATTACCAGACAGGATTGATAAATATGCCCAATAAGCATAATTGTTCGTGTGTCAGCCCTTGTTGAAGGAATACTCACAGCAGTGGTGATAACTGCTATGATAGCTACCATTAAATTACTCATTGTGACTGGTTGTACTGCTTTCCTCAGGTTTTCTTCTGCCACTTTTGACAGCTTCTTGATCTGTCCCCAGGTCAGTGGCTGTGTTCAATGGGTGTTGCTCATGACAGTTAGGGTGTTCCTCAGCGGCAGCCTTGATGTGGCTGCAACTGGGGGATCCTCGGGATCCTCACGGAGTCTCTTCCTTGGCATCTGGCTCAGGATAAGGTTTCAGGTGTCTTGATGGTGTCCAAATCGGTTGTTGATTTTGGCCTGGAGAAACACAAGCATAACCTCTACAGCAAGTTATTATTTTACCTATTTCCCAATTTCGTTATTGGATCTCTCCACCAAATCAGTTGTTCTGCTTCTGTCTTTGCAGGTGGTTTCTGGAGATGCTGTTCAGCTGCTGATAACATCTGGCCTTTGGACAGGCTCAAAAAAATTAAAGCTAATAATGCTAGATTCAATTGCATCTATGGGGTTCCATATTCTCCATTTCCCCCTTTCTCCTTTGCAACTGCTGTTTTAGGGAAAGATTCATTCTTTCCACTATGGCTTGTCCTTGAGAATTGTATGGGATACCAGTAATGTGTTTAATATTCCACATAGAGAAAAATGTAGCTAGAGTTTGGATAGTACAGCCTGGGGCATTATCTGTTTTAGTAGAAGCTGGAATGCCCATCACCACAAAACACTGCAAAAGGTGATGCTTAACACAGGCAGAAGGCTTTCCTGATTGGCATGTGGCCCAGACAAAGTGAGAAAAGGTGTCCACACATACATGTACATAGGCTAGTCTCCCAAATGAGGAAACAAGTGTGATATTCATTTGCCAAAGAGAGTTAGGTTCCAATCTTCGAGGATTAACTCCTCCTATAAAAGATGAGGAATGTACCATTTGGCAACTTGGGCATCACTGGATAATAGCTTAACTTATTTCCAGGTAATGCTGTATCTGCATTTGAGACAAGGCATTAACATGGGTTAAATTGTGAAAGTGGCTAGCATTAGATACTGCATTAGCAACTAGGTGATCAGCCATTTGATTCCCTTCAGTCAAAGGTCCTGTAAGAGGTGTATGAGTGTGAGTGATGTAAAAAGGGTACATGCTACTTCTAACTGCTGTTTGCAGTTGGGTAAATAAAGGCATCAGTTGTTCATCTGCATGAAATCATAACTGAGCCTTTTCAATTAACTGTGTGGAATGAAACACCTATGAAGAATCAGAAATCACATTAATAGGCATATCAGAGCAGTAAATACTTCAATTACAGCTACAAGTTCCTCTTTTTGAGCTGAAGTATAGGGCTTCTGAAAAACTTTACTTTTTGACCAAGAATAGGAAGCTTTACCATTATCAGACCCATCTATAAAACAATGAAAATGCTTAGCAGGCTGCAGATTGTTTACCGCAGGGATTGTAAATGCAAACCATTCACAGTCGTGCTCACCTAAGGGGACAGTTAATAAATAGTCTTTTAAATCTATGACTACTAAAGGCCAATTCTTTTTGGAATTATAGCAGGAGAAGGCAATCCTGGCTGTAATGCTCCCATAGGTTTTATAACTGAATTGATAGCTCTTAAGTCAGTTAACATTCTCCATTTACCTGATTTTTTTCTTAATTATGAAAACTGGAGAATTCCAAGGGGAAAATGTTGGAGCTATGTGCCCATTTTCTAATTGTTCAGTAACTAATTTCTCTAGAGCCTCCAGTTTCTCTTTACTTAGCAGCCATTGTTCTATCCAAATTGGCTTATCTCTTAACCATTTTAAAGATATAGCTTCTGGAGGCTTAACAATGGCCGCCATGAAAAACTGTTTCCTAATCTTTGGCGAGAATTTGTCTTTCCACTTGAAGATTTTGTTTCAACCCTTGCAATTTTTTTATAGTCTCATACCAGGAACATACCCCATTTCATGCACCATATGTGGACTTTGAGGGCTATATAATTGTCCTGGAATTAGAACTTGTGCTCCCCATTGTTTTAATAAATCTCCTCCCCATAAATTTATAGGTACCGAAGTTATAATTGGTGGAATAGTCCCAGGTTGTCCATCAGGCCCTTCACAAAGCAAAATAGAACTACTTTGATATACTTCAGGGGCTTTACCAACTCCAACTCTGTTAAAATGAGCGGGTTGAATTGGCCATCTGGATGGCCAGTGCTGTAGAGAAATGATTGAAATGTCTGCTACTGTATCTACCAAACCTTTAAATTTCTTTCCCTCAATAGTTATTTCACAGGTAAGATGTTTATCAGTAATTTGATTTACCCAATAAGGTGCTTTGCCTTGTTTATTTGTGCTTCCAAGTCCTCCTGTTCATTTAATTTCACATTTTCCCATTCCCATATACAGCACAATCAGGAGCTGTGCTATACACTCTCCTGGCTCTGCTTTTCAGGGAACAGAAGTAGATATAACAATTTCAATTTCCCCATTATAATCTGAATCAATGACTCCTGTATGTATTTATACCCCTTTTAAACTTAAACAAGAGCTGCCTAGAAGTAATCCTATTGTCCCTGCTGGCAAGGGTCCACAGACTCCTGTTGGGACTTTTGTGGCAGTTCCCCAGGCAGAAGCCTCACAGCTTTTGTGCAGCATAAATCTACTGGGGCACTACCAGCTGTGGCAGTGGACAGACATTGTACAGAGGTGAGGGAAGAGCCTGAGCTAGAAATGCCCCAGTTTAGAAGAGGGCCCAGGATGGGCACCCCATGGCATTTCCTGAAATTGCGTTCCCTTCTTTATCAAACTTAGAGTGACACTGATTAGTACAATGTTGTCCTTTTATACATTTTGGACATATTTCATGCTCAGCAGTTATCTTTTTTCTCCTATCTGGTGGCCTGACTCCCTGATTTTTTCTACATTCTTTTTTAGTATGACCATGCTTCCCACAGTTTAAAGAAGCTCCAGGAAATGGAGTATTTCCTTTATCCACTCTCAGTCCTGCCATTGCCTGTGCCAACAAAGTAGCTTTATGCAGATTGCTTCTGATACCATAACAGGCCTTGATATAATCAACTAAATGTGCTTTCCCTGTGATAGGTCACAGAGCAGCCTGGCAATCAGGATTAGCATTGCTGAAAGCTAATAACTGCAACACTATATGCTGAGCAGCCAAATCTGCAGTCATCTTTTTAAGAGACTCCTGTAACAGAGCTATAAAATCAGTGTATGGGTTCTTTAGGTCCCTGTTTTATAGCAGTAAAGGAAAGATATTGTTCTCCACATGAAGTGATTTTTTTCCCGAGCTCTAATGCACACTCCTCTAAGCTGTTCTATGTCATCATCCTGCATGACCAGTTGTGCATCTTAACCAGCCCAGCCGCCAACCCCCAAAGTTGGTCTGCAGTTATATTAATTTAAGGTTGGGCATGGGTATTGTGAGCAGCCTGAATGGAAGCTTCATCTGCCCACCAAGTTTTAAATTGTAGGAACTAAGCAGGAGTTAGACAAGCTCGAGTAAGAGCATCTCAGTCAGTAGGAATCATCCGACTGGAAACAGCAACATTCTTTAACAGTCCCATTACAAAAGGAGAACCTGGTCCATACTGATTTATAGCTTGTTTAAATTATTTGAGTAATTTAAAAGGAAAAGGCTCAAATGTAGCTATAATATTTCCCTGTTGACCTCGGTGGTGTATTCTAACAGGGAACTTCCAAGCCTCTAAATCACCCTCCCATCTAGTTTGTTGAATTCCTGCCTGAATAGAACTAAGAGTGGTCACTCAAGGTGCTGCTTGAACAGTCATGGGGGCAAATGCTTTTTGCCCAGTGTCCTCCAGAAAAGAAAGATATGGAGGGTCTTTTTCTTCATAATAATAATGAGGGTGTGCAGAAGTATAGGGATGAACCTCTCCTTCCTTTGCCGCTTTAGCTTTAGCTGGCAAATAAACATGCTCTGTAACCTCTTCTGTTACTTCCCTATATTCTCCTTCCTCCTCATCATCAGTACGAAAAAGTTCCAAGGTGGAACGAAACACACCTCACACTTCTCCCATTGTTACCCTGATGCTTCTGAGCTCCCCTTATTACTCACCACGGGGATTGTTTTAAGAGTACTCGGGTGTCCTCCAGCTAGTTCCACCTTCTCAAACCATCACTCTGGTGATGCTTCAACCTGGATTCAAGCCCCCATGATGGACGCCACTTGCCAAGACCAGCTCAGTCAGGGAACCCCTAACCCAGTGGTGCTAGAGGAATTAAGGACACACACACAGAAATGTAGAGGTGTGAATTGGGAAATTGGGGTCTCACAGCCTTCAGAGCTGAGAGCCACAAACAAAGATTTACCCACATATTTATTAACAGCAAGCCAGTCATTAGCATTGTTTCTATGGATATTAAATTAACTAAAAGTCTCCCTTATGGGAAACATAGGGATGGGCAGAATTAAAGGAATAGGTTGGGCTACATAAATGCAGCAGTCGCATGTCCTTAATGCACAGATCATGCATGCTATTGTTTGTGACTTAAGAATGCCTTTAAGTGGATTTCCATACTGGGCAGGTGAGGTATTCCTTGCCCTCATTCCTGTAAACCCACAAACTTCCAGAGTTGGCTTTATGGCCATCATGAACATGTCACAATGCTGCAGAGATTTTGTTTGTGGCCAGTTTTGGGGCCAGTTTTTGGCCAGATTTTGGGGGGCTTGTTCCCAACACAATCATATACAGGTTCTTCAGTTATTTCTGGGAAAAAATTTCCTGGGTTCAAGCAAAGTCAGGTTGTTAACCAAACTACAAACTTTTCAGCAGCAAAGCTTGATATTTTAGGAAAAGATTGTCTATTATCCAAAAACATTCTTTAGAGGATAGCAGTTCTCCTAAATTATGTGGGTGTAAACAGTAAAATTATTCCCCATCGTTAACTTTGTGGCTTCCCACAGCAGCATGTCCAACACTGCTACTCAACTGCTTGGAGGCAGTCTGTTTATTCTTCAGGCAGCAAGTTGAGATCTTGGCTTAGGTAACTTACCAACTGCTTGTCTCGACCATGGGCCTGAGTTGAAACTCTCAAGGCCATCCATTTCTTTTCTGAAGCATAAAATTTAAATGTCAACTTTATAGGAAAACTGAAGGTACGTGCTTTCAGTAAGGCTTGTTTTAGCTGCTTAAAGGTATTTTGAGCTTCAAGTGCCCAGATTAGAAAGTTAGCCATAGCTTCTTGAGTTTATTTTATAACGTGATATAAAGGGTTACCTAGTTTACCATAGGTCGGTATCCACAATCTGCAAAAATTGATAATGCCCCCAAATCCTCTTAATTTTAGAGATGGGGGAAAAGAAAAAGAGGAAATGGGATAAATCCTCACCTTGACTAATGCTCTAGTTTCTTCTGATAGGACCAGGCCTAAGTATTTCACTGAGGTATGACAAAGCTGAGCCTTACATTGTGATTCTTCATAACCTCTGCTTGCTAGATAATTGAGAAGCCTTCTCAGTTGGGGCACAGAGGAGAATGTCATATTGTAAAACTTTAACCTGAGGATGAGATAACTCAGAGAGGTCTCTTGATAATGTCTACTAAAACAGATGGAGGCTTTCTTAAACCCCTGTGGCAATACTTTCCGTGTTAACTGTGTATCCTGTTTGGACAGATTCTCAAAGGAAAAGAGGTATTGGAAACCAGGGTGCAATCATAAAAATAAAAAAGGCATCCTTCAGGTCTAAAACTTTAAATCATTCAGTTCTCTTGGGAATTTGAGTTAGCAAAGTACAAGAATTAAGAACAACCACATAGAGTGGAAAAACTGCCTCAATAGTGAGACAAGTGTTCTTAACTAGCCTCCAATCCTAATTGAGTTTCTCTACTCCTAATATTTGCAGTTTTTTAAAGACTGATGTGGGGTCTAAGGAGGCCTTTCTCCTATAGCTTATTTATAATGTCTTCTAGCATTTTTCTACTTTATGGCTTTGGGAAATAATGCATCTGGCTAGAAAGAATAGTGGGATCCTTAAGGTAAATATTGATGCATGTAGTGGCTGTAGTTCAGTAAGTTTTTTCTTGATATCCCACACCTTTTCATTAATACTGATTTCCGCTAAGGGGAGAAAAAGATTTTGTCCAGAGCCATTAAGATGGTGGCTTCTATATGGGCCAAAATATCTCTACCTAGTTAATATTGATTTCCACTAAGGGGAGACAAAGCATTTGTCCTGGAGCCATTAAGATGATGCCTCCTGTATAGGCCAGAATATCTCTACCTAGTAATAAAGTGAAACTTTCAGAAATGACTAAATTGGCATGAGTAAATAGAAGGTCGTTCCAACTATAACTGTGAGCTGAGAAAATATTGGGTAAAGTTCTTTGCTGACACATCAATCATTTGTCACATAATGGAAGGATAGAAGACCTACATTGGAGAGGAGAACAAAAAGACCTGCTCCAGCTTCCAGAAGGAATTCTACCTTCCTCCCTCCCACCTCAAGAATCACTCAAGGCTCCTAAGGAGTATGGCCCTTGAGGAGTATGGCAGCTCTTAGAGCTGAGGAATTGATATCTAGGAATTATTAATCCTGCTAGAGCATTTGTGAGACTGATCCTGGGCCTAGTGATGTATGCCTCTGGAAACAGCACTCCTTTCAGTGGTTACCACAACAAGTTGGACAGTGTTAAGTTGGTTTCCTTTGTTGTCTCAGCATTTCTTGTTAAGTGTCCTGTCTTGCCAAACTGATAACAGTTATCAGGTGCCCTCAGGGACCCACATTTTATAGACCTGTATTGTGGTCTTTAGAGTCTCTGTTCTTTTCTTTTCTTTTCTCTTATTCTGCTATGCTTGTTTTTGTTCCCTATTGTAAGTCTGAAGTAGCCACATTCAGGGGTTCTCTAGAATGTTTCTGAGAGGAGAAAGCTAGCTTGACTTAGGGGGACAGCAAGGAATTGTTCCTGGGAAACCCCCAGCCTAGAGGTCACTGCATCATTTATACATACTACACTAAGCAGCCTGAAAAATAAATCAGATTGCAGACTTCAATAAGATAACTAACACATGGGTGTTGTACCTAGAGAGGCACCTGTGTGTTTACAGGCAGAAGAACCTTCAATCCATTCAGATAAAAATCTTTCACAAATTCTGATTCACTCAAATAACAAAACTAGGCCTGGCATAAAAATATCCTTGTCCTTTTTATAATCAGTGGGCTCTCAGGAAGCAGTTTCTTCTTCATTTGGAAACATAAACAGAGTGGGTTCTGGTTGGCACTGATTTTTTCTTTTTGGACTGTGAGCTGGGCCTCTATGAATCATTATTTTAGTTATTAATTAGGCCTGGGCCAAATTCTTGGGCCAAGCTTTAACATCAGCTCCTGATAGGTCATGGGATAAGCTGAACATCCACTATAAATTATGACTTCAGTCCCTGATTATTTCTGTGCAAGCCTCCTGGGCTAAGCTTTTTAATTAATCTCAGGCAAAGACCCTGGGCCAAGCTGAATCACATGTTCTTCCAAACAGCCCACTGACTAAGCACATTTCTTTGTCTTCCCACTTTATTATAACCCTGAAACCCAGCCTCATAGTAGAAAACACAGTTGGGCCTCTCTTTTTACTAGAAGAGAGCTTTTTCTTTTACTCATCTCTTTTGTTTTAATCTCATCGTTGGTGCCATAGCTTCTTAATTTTTTTTTGGATGTAATACAAAAGTCTTTGGGTATAATATCATATGAAGGGATACTACTATATCTTGGTGCATTGGTGGGACTACAACATATATTGATGCATGGGCTGAGAAACAAATAATTCATAAGAGGGTAAGAATGGATCTTTAATCTTTTACATTCATTTCAAAAACGTGTTTGTTTTTTTCAATCTAGTTTTCTTTCATGAAGAGCCTGGCTACCACATGGGATGTAAAGGAGATCCTAGGGAAACTGCAAGTTTCTCACTGAGGTTACAACTCTGTAATCTGATTGCCCTTAGACTAGTTCCAGTCCCTAACAGCTCATCAGGCTGTTAGCACAAGGACTTCCAGTTTTTGTCTATTAAATTTACCATTTTTCTTCTCACAGCTATTATGTCTTTTATCCATTTTTTTGGTATGGAATGCTCTAGGCATTTTTACAGCCTAGGTATAAAATTTTGCTGAGTAGAGTCACTCAATGACTAAGCAGGAATGTAATTCAGAAAGGTTTGTTTTTGTGATTTCCCTGAAACAAGGGGAATTCAAGAATTCAGTATAAACATTTACCTATTAAGGGCCTTTCTGTCCAACAATGATAGAGTTTTATGGCACTGTATGGGAGGATATTTTACCCAAAGTGAATACTCTTTTTTTAATTTAGATTTTTAAGAGATATTATTGTTTTCCATAGAACAGTTATATCATGAGACAAGTTAAATTTTGCCTGATTGGGGGTATACACTGGAGACAACTGATCAAACCCTGAACTGTCTTTCTAACTTTTGGCTGAAGTGAGTTTGGAGTCAGAATTATTGTTCTTTCTTTTTTCTTTTTTTTTTTTTTGGATGGAGTTTTTGCTCTTGGCATCCAGGATGCAGTGCAATGGTGGGATCTTGGCCTACTACTACAACCTCCACCTCCCAGGTACAAGTGGTTCTCCTGCCTCAGCCTTCTGAGTAGCTGTGATTAAAGGTGCCCACCACCATGCCTGGATTTTTTTGTATTTTTAGTACAGATGGGTTTTTACCATGTTGGTCAGGCTGGTCTTAAACTTTTGTCCTCAGGTGATTCACCTGCCTTGACCTCCCAAAGTGCTGGGATTACAGTTGTGAGCCACCATGTCTGGCCAGGAGTCAGGATTTTTAACCTAGCATTTCTAGCCTTACAATACCTCCTAGTGAAGTGAGATTTCTTTTCTATTGAAAGCTTTGGCAAGTCATTGTCCAAAACTTATGGTTTCCTAATTATTTTCCCAATGATATTCCTCTAGCAGTGATTAGGCCCCATGTTCTATCTGTAAGCAGGCAGCCTCCACTTTAACTGTTGGGAGGAAGACACTGTTGAAGGGCAGATTTTAACCTCTTTGCTGTCCCCGTCTAATGAAGGACCAGCCATTCAGCTTTTGCACTCTTTTGAGGCACCTATTCTCCATTTTCTTAATTTGGGATTTAAAATGTTTGAAAGTCAATCTCTCTCATTCTCTGAGATTCTGATGTTTCTCTGGGAACATAGTTAGGAAAAGCAAGTTAGTATGAGGACATTTTCTCCATTAAAAAGTCTTGCACAAATTCTCCTACTAAATAACGTCTCCCTAAAAACGGAGTAGATGCTTCATGCAGGTAAGCACGGCTAGTAAGCTGACTAGCTCTCCCCAAATCCTTGAGTAAAGGTTGTTGTTTCATTTATGGGAAGCATGTATGGTAGATTTTCAGACCCAGATGAGACAGGGGAAGTAGAAGAAGGGTACCGTAACATTTTCTATTTACCCTGCATCACAACAAAAGCAGGAACAGGTCTCAAGGACACCTTGTCTCCCCTCTGTTTCTAGATGGCAACGATGCATCTGCAGAGTGCATTCCAATGATATGCATTTGGAAACACTGGAATTCCATCAACCCTGAGACTCTGAATTAAAAAAAAAGAAGCTTAAGCCAGGTGTTGTGGCTCACACCTGTAGTCCCAACATTCTGGGAGGGCAAGGTGGGCAGATTGACTGGTCAGCATGGTAAAATCCCATCTCTGCTACAAATACAAAAATTAGATGGATGTGGTGGCAGGTGTCTTTACTCCAAGATACTCAGGAAGCTGAGCCAGGAGAATCCCTTGAACCCCAGAGGCAGATGTTGCACTGAGACAAGATTGTGCCATTGCACTAAAGCTTGGTCAACAGAATGAGACTCTATTTCAAAATACAAATAAATGTAAATATACATATACATATACATTTAAAAAACAGCTTATATTCTGCTGACAACAAAGTGGCCATTTTACAAAGAGAAGGCCTGGCCTTCTCAAAGAAGAATAGTTTCAATACTATCTGGCAACTAAGGCTCTTTTGCCCTTCAAGAAAATTTGAATTTTGTAAGCATTGTGGAATTTACTTTGCCTTTTTATTAGCCATACAAAGCAAATGTACAATACATAATTTTCAAAAGTCAGAGAGAGAAATCTCTGGAGAACCCTCAGATGCTATTTCTAGTGCCCTATCTGCCTTCTTTATCTGGGGCTGCCAATAGCCATATAGAAACTCCTCTGATTGTGCTACCTTAAGAAACCTCCAACTTTGCTGTTGCCTGTATAGCAAATGCCCAATGAACATGGTGGAACTAATTTAAATTTCCTTATCATTGCAGTAACATTAAACCAATAAAGCAGGACTCAGGCAAGTTCTCTGATGACCCTGATAGACATACACAGGCTTTTCAAAATTTAAACCAAGTGTTTAATCTAATGTGCAGAAATGTTGTGAGACTTTTAGGCCAAATTTTAACTGCTGCTGCTGCTGCTGCTGAAAAACAGGCAGCATTGCAGGGAGCAAAGAATTTTGAAGATGAACAACTAGTACCCTATAGTCAGGAAAGAAACACAGTTGAAGGAAAAAAATTAGTAAAAAAGAGATGAATTACTATTTCCAATACATACAAAAACAGTGCTTTTTGAAAACCCTAATTGATGTCTGAGTGATCCCATGGATAAGTGGATAAGAAAACACTTTCTTACGTGCATATTAGCAGGCTTCCAAAGAACTAGAACAAAACCTCTTAAATAATCTAAACTACCATTGTTGAATCACAAGCCAGATAAAAATCTCTTAGGCTCTTTGGAAAGTCTGAGAGAAGCTTTAGTGAAACATACCTCTCTACCTCCTAAATCCATCAACAGACAGATTATGTTAAAATACATGTTTATTTCTCAGACAGCCCCTAATATCAGAAGAAAACTACAAAAGCAGGCCATGGGATGACTCAGCACTGTGGACAGCCTCCTGGGGTGGATTTTTCAGTCTTTTACAAGAAGACCTGGAACAAGGAGTCCCAGAAAATCCAGGGGGGTCATAAGAGAATGAAAGAGGTACTACGGCTACATTACAGGCCTACAAGTTGCAGAATTACCAAGGTGCACCTGCTAATTTCTACTGGTGTGACAAGCCAGGACACTTTCAAAGGGATTGCACAGGCAGCAAGAAGAATATACTTAACTTTGTCCAGCCTGTGGTGGAGACCAGTGAAAGTAAAAATGACCCCAGTGACATTTGTCACCAATCAAATGTGTTTTCCCCTGATTGTTCAGCAGGAATAATGGGTCCCAGGCTCTACAGCCATTGTGATACAGAGGATCCAAGTAATTCTGGAGGTAAAGGCTAAATAATTTTCATCTAGTTTTAATCTGTTATCAGTACCTTAGAGTAATTAAGAAGTATGGCCCTGTTCTCTCATCAACCTTCCAGTATGCTAATTAGATTTTTTTTTTCACTCATCTACAAGATCACCAAGATGTCAATTGGGTTTTCAAGAAACGCTGTTTCCTTTCTTATTAGAAATAAACATTTTGCTATTTGTTTAACTTTTTTTTCCCCTTTCACCCTCCCTTCTTCTTGAATTTTGGCTGGCTGTAAGAAACACACATTTCCTCTATAAAAAATTCTGCTATCTATAAAGCTGCCTGCTTTACTGTAACATTTAGGGATTGCTTTAGGAGTAATGTAGTATTTTACAAGTAAGATTGAACACTTGGGTTATGCTTTGAAATGCCTCTGTATATGAATCAGGGTCATCAGAGGACTTGCTTGTTTCCTGCTATTTGTGTAAGGCCCTGAAATGAGAAGAAAACTTGAACTCTAGTAGCACCACATCTATCGATTATTTCCTGCAGGGGCAGCAGTGAAGTTGGAAGTTTCCTTGGTGGCACAAGAAGAAAAGCTGATGAAATGGCTGTTGGAGGGCCTGCATAAGGGTGGCAGGTAGGGCATTTAGAAGTCACATTTGAGGGTTCCTGAGGGGTTTGTCTCTGACTTTAATAAATTATTGTTTTAAACTTGCCTGATGTGACTGCCAAGAGGGCAGTCAATTTTACAATGTTTATGACGATCTGGGTTGTCTCCAAAATCAAAGTAAGCTTATACATAGAAAATTTCAAAGTGTTTTTTTTCCCATCTCAAGAAAAGATCTAGTTGTTGAACAGTATTAAAATGAACACTTCCCTCAGGAAGCCAGGCCTGCCTGTCTGGAGCTGGTAAGATAGCCATGCCCTTTTGCCAAAACAAACAAACAAAACCACTTTTTTTCAGAGTCACATGGTCAAATAAATTCCAGTGTTTCTGAATGCAACCTAGAGAAGTCCAGAATGCAGAAGGTTTGTGACCTTTCAAAATATATAGAAAGAGAAAGAATCCCACAGTCTCCTTCCTCTTTTTGAAAAACCCTGAGTGAAAAGGAAGATCTAAAGTGTGTTCATTGTTTTTTCATTTTTCTTGTCTTTTATGGATCTGGCAACTATCATAGGTGTCCTCCATGGATACAATCATAATCTTCACCCATGGTTCCAGAGGAGCTAGTAAGAAGGAGAAGTAATGTTCACCTGCACAAGGCGTTAGCTCTCCACTAGTGATCCTTTGTTGGTCTCCTAAGCATACTCAACCCAGAAGATTCCAAAGGTAACTTGGCAACCTAAGAAAGATTATGGGTAGTTTGATTTGAGCAAGGACCTTTTGCACAGGGAGATGTTCAATACTATTTCTGTCTTTCTTTGCTGTTGCCCTAGTAAAATCTTGAAATTCTAGAAAATGAGATCGATTGACTTTGAAACATAAAATTCTCTTTTAGTTTAAATGCCACTTGCTGCTGGAAGCAGAATACATACCTCCAAAAATGTAGGGCTTGAATGGCTGGTCTTCTTAAAATAGCCCTAAGTGGCCAAGTGCGGTGGCTCATGCCTGTAATCCCAGCACTTTGGGAGGCAGAGGTGGGCAGGTCATGAGGTCAGAAGTTCGAGATCAGCCTGACCAATATGGTGAAACCTCATCTATACAAAAATTACAAAAATTAGCTGGGCATGGTCGTGTGCACCTGTAATCACTGCTACTCAGGAGGCTGAGGCAGGAGAATCACTTGAACTCAGAAGGTGGAGATTACAATAGCCGAGATTGCATGACTGTGCTATAGCCTAGGCAACAGAATGAGACTCCATCTCAAAACAGAGAGAGAGAGAAAAGCCCGGAGCTAGAATATGTCTCTCAAAGGCAACTTTCTGCCAACTATTGAAAGTAGAGATTTTCTGTTTACAGATAGGGCATGGAGTCTTATTACTGTTAGAGAGACACAGGAGAGAGAGGAGTTGAAAACCTCAGGGTTTTGGGCAAAGTACTGACAAGTCTTCCTACAGAGAAAAATTTCATCACACTAGGTGACATGGTAAGATCTAAAATGTTAGATGAAAACTCTGACTCCAAGATTTTTGTAGCCAAAAGTTAGAAAAAGAAGGGGAAAACTCTATAGGTTGTCCCCACAGTTCGTGTCTCTGGAGAAAAAAAGATTAATGTGTCTCATAAAGAAACTGTTTAGATTTATATGGCAATGCTGAGCTTTTTACAGAGAAATAACCAACAAAAACAAAAACTTTCTTCTGAATGTATATCTTTCCATACAGTGCCATGAATATCTGTCACTGGGGGACAAAAAAACACTCACCAAATAAAAATTTTTAGAGTACAATTTGAGTTCTTTCTGGTTCCAAAAAAATCACAAAATAGCATCTCTTTTCATTACATTTTTAATTACTAACACACCAGCTGACATTACCCCATAAGATTATATCTCCAGGTTTCAACATTCATACAAACAGGAAATAGAATATATAATAGTCACAAAAAGAAAAAAAATGCAACAGAAATTTCTGGAATTTTTGGTGGCAACATAATTATGGGCTGTCAGAAACTGTAGTTAGTCCCGAGGCTTTCGGGTAACACCGTGGTGTAGTCTTAACCAGAAACCTTCAGTTTTTCAAGATTTTCTTTCAGCCCCACATGATGACTAGGTCCTCCATGAAAGAAAACTGAATTGGAACAGAGGCAACATTTTTGACACCTAAGGGTAAAGGGGGATTGCCAGAGTGTTTCCCAGCAGGCCTATCTCCTGAGCCTTGTAAGGATGGTAGCCATTTTACTGGATTTTAACTGACACTGGCCCAGTGTTTTGTGTGCTCTTGAGAAATTAAAAAAGAAAACCCTGAGGACAACAAGCCTCAGAAATGAATGTAAATAGTTTGGAGGTGCACTCCTAGTCACTTTTTAATTAATCTTTTTCCAGTTCATGCACCAAAAACGTAGTTGCTGTCCCCCAACACACCACAGCGTATCAGTTTCTCATTCTGAGGTGTCACATATATTTTTTTTAATCTAAAGGCCAAGAAATTAAAAGCCATGAATGAAAATGATGAGATTGTAGCAAATGTTTAATAAGTTAACTTCTTGTGGAGGAAAGTGAGTTGCCCACGATAAGGAAGTGTCTGATGTTTTTTATGGAATGGGAAGAAACAGAATGTCCTAACTATTCTTGAAGAAAGCACTGCTGAACTTTTCCAGGGACTTTGACGTGGGACAAATTAGGAGCTAAAGTAGTGACTCAGAAGTGATTCAGCTTGGCTCAGGAACTTGGCCCTGGACCATTCAAGAGCTAAAATAATAGCATGGCCTAGGACCAGCCAAACTCAAACTGCTTCTGAGAAACAGACAGCCCTACATGCAACAAGAGAGATTCAGGGACAACTGCATGTCTTCTACAGCCAGCGTAAAATACAAAAGGTACTCAAAGGGACCATATTGAATCAGAAACCAGATAAAAATTTTTCAGCCTTTATGAAAAGGCAGAGGGACGTTCATGAAACACACTTTTGTAGCTCCTGAATCAATTAATACATGGATAATCTTAAAAGGCAAGTTTATTACTCAGGCACCTACTAATATCAGAAGAAAACTTCAGAGGAAGGCTCTGGAATTGTACACTACCTTGGGAAACTTCGTGGGCATAACCTTCTCTATCTTTTATGACAGGACTCAGGAACAGCCACAGCAAAAAGAGATGATGCAAAATAAAGACAAAGACCAGTGACCCAATTACAGGCCCATAAAATCCAAGATACTTGACATTCACCTGTAAACTCCTCTCAGTGAGGTAAGCCAGGGTACCTTAGGAAGAATGGCTAAGGCATCAAAATGTAGCTACCTTGACCCTTTCCATCCTGTGTTGGTGACTACTACATGTTGGACTGCCTCCAAGAGTGTTCATCACAGTGTGGGGCCAGTTTCCCAGATGGTCCAGTAGACTAATGCATCCCAGATCTCAATTCCCACACTTCATTTATTGCCATCTCATTAATGCACCACAATGTAGCAATCTCTCATTGTGAGGTGTCAAGCAGAGCTCTTTGTCTCATGGCCAAGAAAATTAAGGAGCATGGATGCAAACAGGTTGAAGCAAAAGTTTTATAAGTGAAAGTAAAAAGCTCTTTACAGTGGAGGTGGGGTGTAAGTTGTTTGCCTACTATAAGGCTGGGCTTCAGGGTTGATAAAGACAGAAAATGAAAGAAATGTGCTTAGTGGTCTTGGAGAAACATTACTCAGCTTGGCCCTGCACTTTGGCTGGGGATTCATCAGGAGGTTAAGTAATGATTTATAGATACAACTTAGCTTGGCCTTCATCCTTTGCCCTGGACCAAGCAGCAGCTAAAGTGAAAGCTTGGTCTGATACCTTGGCCTGGGACCAATAACATGCTGAAGTGTTGTTTCATGACCAAGATAATTAATGAAACTACACATAAAGTTCAGATAAGACAGAAGTTTAATAATCAAAAGAAGAAAGCTGTTCACATTAAAGAAGGGACCCATGAGACTTTCCAACTATAATGCTGGGTCTGAGGTTTTTGTGAACTGGAAAGAAAGAAATATTCTGAGTTGCATGTGGGCTATCTTGAAGAAAGCAGTAATCAGCTTGGTTCAGGACCTGACCTGGGACAAATCAGAGGATGAAATAAAAGCTTTGTTTGGGGCATTGCATCAGGAAAACACAGAAGCTGAAGGGATGATTCAGAAACACTTGGCTCACAGGTCAAAACATATTCAAAGTAGAAAAGTGTCCCAGCAGAGCCCACTAGAGCCTACTAGGTATCATGCCCACAAAGACAGAATTGTCTATTTTTTTGAAGCCTGCTGATTATATGAATGACAAAGGTATCTCTACATGTGGCCTTCCTCCCCTATCTGTGCAGCTGTGCATATGTTTTAGGCAAAAACGCAAAGGCATTTTCATGTTCTTTCCTGTTTTCTGATTATTGCAGCTGTGAACATGTCTTTTGCTACTCTCCTCTTCTAGTTCTCTTACAGTTGCCTGCAACTTAACTTTTCAGTCTGTTTCTGTGCTTAAAAGAGTTTTACCAAGAACCCTTCCTAGTTTCCTGTTTTTTCTCTCCCACATCATGAAGGTAAATTTAATGTGTTTTGTGCATAAAACAAAGCTGTGTGAAGAAATATTCTGTGGAGCTTTCCGCTTGTGTCATGTCATCACTCAAGTTTCACATTGGAGTACATTTAATGTTTTTATGTTAGCAATGTTCAACCTGCACTTTCTTCTTTTAAAATAAACGACTTTGAAAAAGAGAATAAATTGTTTTAATTCTTAGATCATTTGGTAGAATTTGACAGTGGAATT
This sequence comes from Homo sapiens, assembly GCF_000001405.40. NCBI lineage: Eukaryota > Metazoa > Chordata > Mammalia > Primates > Hominidae > Homo > Homo sapiens. Next base: position 9,163,266 of record NC_000024.10, read on the forward strand.
CTACCCAGGACTCTAGTCCTAGGGTTTCTTTTAAGTAGCTGTAAGATTGTGAAATATATTTGGTGTTTGTCTCTGTTTTCTGGCATAGAAATCCTGAGTTCTTTGGAATCTCCAAAGTGATGTCTTTTTATATGCTAATAACTGACAGCTTCAGGTTGGGGCTTGTTAATAAAAAGACAAGACTTGATAAGTGTGCAGGGACTCCCAGGATCACCCTGCATTATTTTGGAATAGGAGAGTTGCTGCGGGTACTGGCAGAAGCAGCCTATTTAGAGGGGCTGCAGAAAAGATGCCAGGTGTAGTGAAGGAGGGGCAGCCAGGGCTCTTCACTCTGTGAAGCTGGTGGGAACCAAGAACAGAGAGAAGCCACACCCACATCCAAGTGGAATTAGCAGAAACCTCACCTACTCAGGCACAGTTGCAGCTGCCTAGCCATGCTGCAGACTCAGGCATCCCTGTGCTTTCTGGGGCCTGGAAAGCCATCCTTCCTACAAAGCCTCTGAAATCCCATTGCCTGGCCTCTCCCAGATCCTAGTGTCCCCTTGAATGTTGAAGAAAATTTTTGGCTGAGCCCAGGTGCTGTCATGATCTGACCAGGAGTGCTTACACTTGAGGTTGTACTGAAACAAAAACCATATGCCACCTTAGCTTTCTCTAGTCTTTTGGCCTCAGTGAGCATAGGAGACTCAAGGAGTTGGTTAGGGGCTGAGGGCAGCTTGGTATGGGCCTGGAGGTTTGTCTTTGCAAAAATAGCCTTGGTACCATTAACTGTAGCAGGAGACAGACAGGCATCTAGGCAGAAAGAAGCAGTTTCTCATTAAAACTCCATCTTCAAGCCATGGATTTTCTGAAGACTGGGGGCTGGGCTGCATGTTCTGGAGATGAGAATGAAAAATTATGTCTCTTTCTGGGCCCACCAATAGCACCACTGACCAATCAGCACAGTACTTCTGCCTACTGAAGCCCATATGAACTCCAGAGTTAGGCAGATCATGGATAACTTGCTTGCAAGTTGGAGCTAACCATTGTCGGTCTCCTCTCGACTGAGAGTTGTGCAATTACTGGCATTACATGCCTGCAGTTAGATAGGTCTCCTCTCCGTTAAGGGCTGTAGCAACATCTCAACAACCTTCCTGCAGATAAAAGCTTGCCACTCTGCATCTCATCCTTACTGAGGACTGCAGAGATATCAGCACGAACTGCCTGCAGATTGGAGCTCCTCACTCTGGTTCTACTTGTCACTGAGGGCTGCACAGATGAAAGTAGGTCCTGCTTGTAAAAAGGAGCTGCCCGCTTTACATACCCTGCAAACTGTACTGTCACTCAATAAAGCACATATTTACCTTAATTATTTTTTAGTTGTTCACATACCTCATTTTTCCTGGACATGAGACAAGGACTCAGGACTGAATGGCAAAACTGAAAAATTAGTAACACAAACAGGACTGAAACTCACAACCCCCAAGTTGCCACATTGTTGCTTACCACAAAAAAAAAGGGACAGCAGAGCTTTGGCAAGACAGTGTTGTGACACCCTCTTGGGGGCTGTGCAATTTCTGGCATTTCTAAGCTTCTGGATTCCACTGCATTTCCCAGTCCCTGAAGAGGAAACAGCTTTTGGTATGCCAAATTCAGCCAAAGACCTTTAGGGAGCTGGCCCCTGTGCCAGCACCTGGAACTGCTCATCCATCATAGCCAATATGGCTAGCTGTGTGCAGTGGCTGTGCTCAACCATCACTCACTCATTCACCTAACTCTGTCCCTGTGATAAAGGTGACATTGATCACCATCAGCCAGTGGATTATTCAATCATACCTACATAATGGAGTCTCCATAAAAATCCAAGAGGACAGGATGCCAGAGCTTCTCGATGGCTGAACATGTAGAGCGTCTAAGAAATAGTGTGCACATAAAAGCAAACACCAGTAATTTAAATGTCAGATATAGTGTAGGTATCTTTTCTTTGCTTTGAAAGAAATTTCTGCCTTTAATAATGTGTCCAGAATTTTAACTTATTAAATAGAACATACTCAAAGTTAACCCAAAAGCATATATTCTAAACATTAACACTTGGATAATTCTACCTAAATGATTTCATGATGCACTAATATTGTACAACAAGTTTTGTTTTAGAGAGATAAAGATTTCTTCAAGTTAACTGGGTAAAAACTAGACATTTATAAAGAAGAAGAAATTCCATTGAAATCTCAGCATAAATTGCATCCTATTTCAGTTTGGGAGAGAAATCATCAGTGAGTTTTGTGTTGGAAATGTTTATCCTAAAATATTAGGCTTTTAATTTAGAATTTTGTGTCTCTGTGGTATTTGTTCCACTATAAAGTCAAAAGCACCATCTCAGATGTTTCTGTGTCTCCATTTTGGGGAAAGGGGAAGAGGCTGCCTCATAACCCATTAAATTCTGCATTCTAGAGTAAAAAATAAAAAAAAATTACAGTTTTTTGTATTTCAAATCTAATAAATCACAATTTTGTTTTTTTGTAGAGTAGTAGTCATGCATGAAAACTAGAATTTGAAAGAACAGCCAAGTGCTCACCAGTCTGATTTTATATTTGGGCTTATATGTGCATAAAATTATGACATTTTGACAAAGAAGCTGCTTCATTATTTATTTTAAAGTTACACTACTTAAAATTTCGTTCATAATATTAAATAAATAGCTTCGACATTTCCAGTTCTGTTTCCAAGTCTTAGATATTGGGGGAATTGTTTTGGGATATGCAGATGGATTAGGGCATCTTGCAGCTAATGATGTCTTCTTCTCAGCTCAGTTATTGTGCCCTGAGCAGACAGACTGACAATTAAAACTCATCATTTTTTTTTTGCACTTACGCTAACATATATTGTATCCCATGGGCTGAACCCCAGATTTTCTTCAGCATTTAACATTCTTTCTCAGCCATTTGTTCAAACTCCATCTTAATATTACAGCTAGCAAGGGCCTTACATTCCTCCAGAACAACTGGATTACATGAGGCAAGCTCATTAATTTGAACCATAATATCTTGGGTGAAAGTTGCTGTTCAAAACACCTGAGAAACCAGGTCTTTGGCACATGCCTCCTGTATTGTCAGCTTTCACACAGCACTCAACATTTTATTGGCAGATGCTTCACCCATCATTGGGAAATGTAACACTAGAAAGCCATCTGAACTCTGTCCAAATGTTGTATAAGGGGTTTGAAACCAAAGCTGTCATTAGCCCAAATCAAGTGACAAAGAGGCAGTATGGATGCACCCAGTCCAATGGCTGGCCCATTGACTGATACAACAGTTGACTTTTTAAATTGAATGAAATTGTCAAAAACATTCTTGATATTGTCCACCATTTCAATGCTTGTTCTCTTTCTGTCATTTGTTAAATGCTTCACGAAGTACCCAAAATCAAGACCACAGCAAAAGACACTGCCAACTGTGCTGAACAGCACAAGTTTGCTATCATCTGGAGCAGCCATATTCAGAGCATTCATGATTTCTTTCATTACTTCTGCATTCAGTGTGTTTTCTCCTGTCAATCTAGTTGATACCAATATCTAGGTGAATCCATCCTCTTTCCTCACTACAATGTCTCTGTATCTGCTGGCACTTTCTGTTAGCCTTCTGGTGACATGCATCCTCTACATAAAAGGCTGGTCTCTGTTATTATCATTAACCTTTCTTTGCCCGCCTCTCACTCTTGTAATAGGTGTATGCATATTTGTTCTTCTGTTGGCTGTTGATGAGTCCATTAATACCAATATACCTTCCTTGTTAGCTGAGCCTGTGACCATGGATGCAGTAGTAACTGAGCCAGACATCTGAGACAATAGTGCATGTATCAGTGGCCTTTTTTCTATTCCAGCTGGTCCTGCACTGGGATCTGATAAAGCTCTGACAGGCTTCTCTACTGCCACGTTGAACACCACTGTGTCCTGCTAATCTGGTGCAATAGGGTTTAGTGTCTCAGGTTCCTGAATGTCAGTCACTCTGTTCTTGCTGTTAAAGGGGCTCTGATGTGCAAGTGTCTTGATAGTTGAATTTACTATCTCCGTATGCTTTGGGTGAAAGAGAGGTGAAGCTGCATTTTTCCTAACATTGTGGCTGGCAGCAAATCACTGGCTGTTTTAGAACTTGTGGTGTTTGCCAGTTAATAACATATTAGGAGAGTTATTAGAAAAGTTGGTGTTGGTAGATCTGGAAGTTCTTTTTTTGGGGCATTGTTTGAAAAAGTTCTACTTGTTTTGATCTGTGTCTTTGTTTTCTGCTTTTCAGTCTGTCATCTGTTAAAGACATAGAAACATTTTTCACAGTTCACGATGTGCTGCTCTGGTTCCCAAGTGTCATCCTGTTTGTCATAACCTTTCCACTGAACCAAATACTCTGTCTTCTCTTTTTTGTCTTCTCTTGTGTAAACAAAAGTTTCAACCTCTAACTATTGGGAATCCGTAAAGAAAGAGACCGATTTGGGGTAGTTGCTGTGCCAACTTTATTTCAGTAGGGTCTTCCCATAGTTACATTTTTCTGCCTCCAGTTCTTTACCAGGTACTAAGTATGGATGAGTCTCTTCCACTTCATTGCCACTGGTGTAGTAAAAGTTGTGTGAAGGAGCAGCTATGGTATGTGCCTTAGGCTCTCCACACTTACTCCCTGGTGAGAGAGCTTGGGCTTGGTCTCAGGGTGCCAAGATAGCTTGCTTCTCACATAAGAGAAGCTAAATCCACCGCTCCTACTCTGGTGTAGTGCAGAAAGCTTTCTACCTGCCTGTTACTCTTTCCTTTACAGTTGCTCTGACCATTATATCAAACATTCTAAAGTTATAACATTGTTAAAGTTACGCTAATATACATTCAATAACATAAAAATCCCTACTCCTGTATAGACTGGCCTCCATTACTTTACTTACTGAGTTCTCAAAATTATACCTTTATGCACTGTATGTCAAAAACACAAGTTAGTGAATATATATATAAAATATATATAGTATTATATTATCTATATTTATATATATACACACACATGTATGTTTGTGTGTGTTTTAAATTATGTGGAGAATCACTTGTGAAGGTGCACATTGTTAATTTTTATATATATATTTTGTTAATTGCTTATGTATTTATCTTTACCTTAATATTTATTTATTCATACTCCTGCCTAGTGTTCATTTTGCCATGAAGTACCCCATAAAGCATTTCTTCAAGGGTAGTCCAGTGGTAAAAGACATCAGCTTTTATCTGAAAATGTCATAATTTCCCTCTCAGTTTTGATGGACAGTTTGAACATAAAATTTCTGTTTGAATTTGTTTTATTACATCACTTGGAATATATTAGTCCATTGCTCTCTGGCCTCGAATTTTTAGATAAGAAATCCACTTTTTAATTTTGAGGGTCCTCTGTACATTACTAGTCACTTCTTTTGCTGCTTTCAAGGTTCTCTTTGTCTTTGTTTAGAAATATTGAATTATCAAGGAAGTTGGAGTGTGTTTCTTTGAGTTTATCTTACTTGGAGTTTATTGAGCTTCTTGGATGTTTATTTATTTCCTCACACTTGTGACATTCTTGGCCACTATTTTTTAAAATAGTCTCTCTGATTCTTTGTCTCTTCTCTTTGAACTTCCAAAATGTGTAAGTAAGGCTGCTTGATGGTGTTCCACAGGTTTTAGGCTCTGTTCACATTTCTTTATATATATTTTCTCTTCCTTCCTTAATAATTTCAATTGCTCTTTCTTTAGGTTTGCTGGTATTATGTTCTATCTGCTCAAGTCTGCTTTTAAATGTCTGTAGTGAATTTTTATTTCAGTTGTTTCACTTTGCATATCTAGAAATTTTTTTAGTTTTAAAAATAATTTTACTCTCTCTTTATTAATAATTTATTTGTTCATGACTCTCTGTGCTTTTTTGTTTATTCTATTACCTTCCTAAGATCATTAATTTAAAAAAATAATTTTTAGTAAGCCTGCCATTTGGACTGTGTAGGAAAAGCTTGTGTTAGTTATTTTTTTTTTCTTAGAATGAGCCTTAATTTTCTATTTCACTTTATGGTTAGTGATTTTGTTAACGCTGAAAAAGGGCATTTACATATGAAAATGCTGTAATTTTAAAATCAGATTTTCTTACTCTATGATTGGCTAGGGTTTTGTTTATTTATAATGCAGGCTCTTTCTGTCCTGGAAATCAGTCCTATTGAACTTCTTGTGTCTTTTTTGAGCCTGCACCATCTGAGGAAGATATGGTTAACATACTTATTTATTATGTTTTTATTTATATATATTTACTTTTGAATGTTTTTGTACATAAATGTCTGACCTCTTAAAAGGAAAAAAAGTAAAATGAGGAAAAATATTCTGGCTCTCTAAATATTCTGAAAGTTGCTTGAGTAGGAGGAGGAAAAGCCTGCAAAAGCTTTCAGAAATGAAACAACGGCTATTCATCTATCTTGGGACTTCTATAATCAGAAGCAGCAACAGGTGCACAAGTCCTCTGACATTTAAATGGCAGGGTCCTTTCTGTTATCATGCCTCTTGCAAGCTGCTCCAGAGGTGTTTTCGAGGCAGCATACCACAGCAGTAGTTAATAAAGAATAAATAGCTGTTTTTCATCTATGCTATAAAATTGATAAAATTTAATTATTGTTTACAAATCTTGTTTTGGAAGCTGTAAACCTTCAGGTAGACTCTGGAATTCCAAAATAATAGGATCATACCAATTCTGACACTGCACCTATAGTGTAGTTGAAGAGACAGATATATAGTGCTCTGTAGTCACTTGTCATGCTTTTCTCAGAAGCTTGTATCATCTTACTTTTGGCCTTTCGGATAAATCATATACATTAATTTTTATCTAAGGATGCATTTGTGCCAGTCTTTGACTTTTTATGCAAGAACTCATATTTAAAGTTATTACAAGTAAAACATTACTTACTCTGAGATTTACTTGTTTTCAATATTTTATTATTTATTTTATCCTTAATTCTCCTTTATTTTTAAAATGTGGTTAATTTAGAAAAAAATTTGTATTTTTTATATTATAATTGGTTATTTTGGGACTTCAATTACTATTGTAAATTTAAAATAGCCTACTTTTAATAACACTAACTTGTTTCAATAACCTAAAGTTTAATTTAAACAATATAAAAATGTGCTGCTTTTGTGCTTTTCCATTCTTTTCAATTTATATTATTATCTCAGATTATATGTGTAAACACTGAGTGTTCAGTAATAGAAAACTTTGCCAGGGTTATAATAATAATTTTCTCTTTTAGAGAAGGTTAGTAACAAATTCTTTTAACTTTCCTTTATCCAGGCATTTTTGCTCATGTATCATTTTACCTGTTACAGATTTCAGGTTTGATAGCATTTTTTCTAGTAAAACTTTGATATCCTACTACCTTATGACTTCTATGGTTTCTGCTGAACAATCATCTGTTAATTTTAATCAAGATTCCCTTGAACATAACAAGTTGCTTGTCGCTTTCTGGTTTTACAATTTTCTTTGTCTTAGCACTTGACTGACTATAATGTTTCTTGATGTGGCTATCGTTGACTATATTACGGTTGAAGATTTTGTCCTTCTTTAACTTTTAGATTCTGATTTTTAATTAAGTTTGGGAAATATTCAGTCATCTTTGCTTTCAGATTTTTTTTTTGCCTCTTCTTTTTCTGTATTTATGAGATGCCCATATTGCATGTATTGATATAGCTCATAGTGTTCTATTAACTTCTTAGTATTTTTTCACTTAATTTTTTTTTTATTTATCAGACTGGGTTATTTCAGTTTTCATTGCTTAAAATTGACTGAATATTTTCCAGCTCAAGTCTGCTGCGAAACTCCTTTATTGTCGATTTTCTTTCGGTCATTGTACTCTTTATCTCAAATTTTTCATTTTTTTTACATATTTTTTCTCACTGATGCTCTCATAATTTTCTTTCATCGGTTCTGTCATTTTTCTTTTACACAACTTAAAACTGTTGTTTTAAATTCTTTGTCAATAAAATTTGGAATATTTTCAATTTCTGCATTTACTTTACATTAGTCATGTGTTTCTATTGGTTTTTATGTTTCTATTTTGCAGAAAACTATATTCAAAAAGTCAAAATGTGCTAACTCTGAATTCTAGGTTTTCTTCATTTCTCCAAGGTATTTTCTTAGTTATTAAAACCTTAGCTTGCATTCCATTAGTGTTTTGAATAAGAGCAATGTTAAAACTATCACTTTTAAAAACTAGATCTGTATTAACATTCTTCTTTAACTCTCAGGGGGATTGCTTATAATTCTGCCTTAGCCTTCATTTTCTTCTCACATTGAAGCTATAGATAAAATTGAGAATTAACACCTATTGTTTTATATACTTTTTGAGAATGTTTTCTGTCGTGAGCATGGGCGTGATTTTCTAAATCTTTCAATACATTAAACTGCTTTTGAATATTCAGATTTTTGCAAATAAAGGTCTCTTCAACTTTTCCTCCTTTTTATAGTTTGTCTATTGTATAAAAACTGGTTTGTTCTCAGCAACTTAAAGTTTTATGACCAATTTCTGGCATTTTCAACCAAGAGTGAATTCTATGTTAGACAAAACAGAAATAAATGTGTTTCATCAATTCTTCACATATACCCTAGATAGACTAGAAAAAAACACAATAATTTACCATATAAGGGCTTCTTTACTCCTTCCAGAAGCAGAATTCAGGGCCTCACATGGAAAATTGTGGATTTCAATTTTTATAAGCCTTCATCTGTGCTTAGGAGGCAGTATGGTAATACACAAAAAAATTTACAATTTTATAATTGTCTCTCTTGATTACATGTTAACTTGGCTAATATGAGCTATTTATTTCAAAGGTCCAGGCTGCTTATGAAAGGTATGAGTTTTCTTTAAATGGTTTGAAGTTGCCTTCCTTGCACTTTTCTTTTTATTTTTATCTATGAAACATTGATTGTTTTCTATTCTTGTAGCTTATTTGTATCTATGAGACGTATGTTTTTTCTCCTAAAATTGTGTTTAAAATACTTAAATTATGTGTTGTACCTCGAATTTTGGATTTTAGATGTTAGATTTTTGTTTTAGTAGTTATATTATAGAGTTTTTTGTTTGCTTTTTATTAATTGAAGTTCTGTATTCCATATAAAATATATGAGGCAAGATCGGTATAAAGTATATTTTGGTTTTATATAAAACAAATGTACAATAATTTGCTTAAAAGTGACTTTCAAGTAAATATCTAAATAAAATAATAAGGAAATAATCATGTAAACATGCAGGAAGTTCAACCAGTATGATGATCCCTGGTAGAAGCCTGCTTAATTGTTTAAAAAATAGCCAGGTCCCTGTTGCTGGAGCAGGCTGTGGAAGGGAAAGCATTATAGATGATGAGCTCATAGAAGTAACAGACAGTCCCTGTGATTGTCTAGGGATTTTATAGGTCAGTAGATTTCACGTTAGATTTCACTCTAAGCCTGGTTTATGACTGGAAGTGGAATTGGTAAGCTTGTTACTAGCATCTAGTACTGAGAGTTTAGAAATGCTGCTAAATATCCTATAACCTAGGGTATTAGGCACCTTTGAAAAATTAACTGTGTTGAACAATCTCTCAAGAAAATTATTTTTAAAACACACATTTAGAATTATTTGATATCACATTTGAAGATTTCTTAACTCAATTTTTGGTTTCTTATATCAGAAGGATTTTCAAAAGCTTATGTAATGTTTAGTTCATTCAAGTTAGGGTAAGCATTAGTAAAGTGAAGTCAGTTTAGTTAATAAATGACTACAAACTAAACCACATATTTTCTTATTTTCTTCTTTTTTCCCATTGCTTTTTCAATATTTCTGTAAACCACTAATATAGAAAATTAAAACTCTAGGCAGTCTCTATTTCAGGGGTACCAAGGGAGAAAACTCAATCAAGGGCCTTTGGGATAGATCTAATCTTGACTAGAGGTTGAAGGTATACGTAAAACACAGACACACCTGTGCTTTGGCACACTATGTTATGCATTCACATTGTGCATACACATTGTCTTATGACATGAAAGTTGCTAAGATATTACAATAAGCAAGCCAAATAAAAACCAAGCTTTCAAAGATTATAGCTGGGGTTAGAGAATTTTCGCTTTTGCTAAAATTGTTGAGTAGAATAAATACTCAAGTATCTTCTACTGCTTAAAAAATATTTTATAGAAGTTTGCACAGTGGGTATCTTTTATCAGAATTATTTCTCCTCCATCTTGTTCTAAGATAATAAAAGATAAATGCGTTCACAAAAATGCATATTAGACAATAAGATAAAGATAAATGAATGAGGAAATTAATGTGAGAAGAAAAATATGTGAAAATATTAAGGTAAGTCCAAAAAGGAGGTGAATTCATGCAATGTAAAATCTTTATGTTTGAATCAGAAATTTGTTTCAGAACGTTAGCAGGTAGCAATATGGTAGTAATCCACATTTATAATGCTCAAGTTGTTCTCATTTAGCACCTGACCTGTTGGCTATGTAACTGATGCTAGATAGAGATTTCTCCACTAGCAGAACTTCTACTCGTATAGAGCTTGCTTTTCCTCCAAAATTAATAAATTGCTACTCAATGCCTAAAGTAAAAAGACATAAATTTTTTTCCCTAATATACTAAGGGAGAGCTATGCTATTTAGACACATTCTAGGAAAAATGCAGACAGCATGAAATCAAGGCATCGGACAATATTAAGTAGTATACAGAAGCTGACATTATTTGTAGAAAAGAGTTATTCAGGCAAAACTTGCAGCAAAAGAGGTATATTTACTGTGCTTTACTCACTAATTTGTCAAAGTGCTGGAACTGCTTTAATATTATTATTGTTATTATTATTTGTAAAAGCTATTTCACTGAGGCAGTTAGGTAATAGATTGCTTACTTTTATAACTGATTTAAATGGTTACATTTTACCATGATTACAGAAACAGTATTTCCTAAATCTGTGTGAAAGTTTAAATTGTCATTTTCTAAGAAGACATAATATACCTCTATTCTTAAAGAAATAAATAGTATATACTAATTCATAACTATTTATTAAGCAACTCCTCTGATGTAGATTCTAGAGCCTTGACAGTAACTAAATAGAAACATGAGTACCTTTGGAGTGTTTGTTTACAGAGATCATTATGGACCATTTAAACACACACACACACACACGTATATATGTGAGTTTTTTGTACAGAATTAGTTCATTTTATGACTCTCAAATCAGCTGACTTATTAAAATAAGATTTACAGTTTTAGTATTTATTCAAAGAATGTTTTTTGAGAATACATACAAAAAATTGTATACTTTGTCATCACTTTATGTGTGTGTATCATATATATGTGTGTATATATATGTATCTCTATATATGTAGAGATACACACACACAAACAAAGGGTGCATATGTACATATATTGGAGGTTATGAAATATTAACTTACATGATCACAATAGGCTGTTTGCTAGCTGAGGAACAAGGAGAAAAATCCAAGTCCCAAAACTGAAGTACTTGGAGTCTGGTGTCCGAGGGCAAGGAGCATCCAGCACAGGAGAAACATGGAGGCTTTGGAGGCTAGGCCCATCTCACCTTTTCTCATGTTTCTGTCTGCTTTACATTCGCTAGAAGCTGATTCGATTGTGCCCACCAAATTACGGTAGGTTTGTCTTCCCCAGCCCACTGTCTCAAATGTTAATCTGTTTTTGGGAAACTACCAAGAGACATGCCCCAGATTAATACTTTGTATCCCTCAATCCAGTGAAATTGACACACAGTATGTCATATGTTCACCCCTTTTCAACTTGAATCTATCCACATCTCCTGAGATAATACGTACTCTTAAAATAAAGACAAAAATGAGGTTATAGTTACACCTAACATAATACAAAAATGAGGTCATATTTACACGTAACATAATAGAACTATCCTTCATACAATCAGGAACACACCAATCCCCAACCCGAACACTATTACGTAAAGTTACGTATACTCAAATGATGATATGAAGTCAATATATCTTATGTCACATAATAAAAGGAAAGAAAAAATGAAGATATTTTCTTACTACATGTGTATATATGCACAAACTTTTTTAGCAAAAGAAGGAGGAAATACGGCCGGGCGCGGTGGCTCACGCCTGTAATCCCAGCACTTTGGGAGGCCGAGGCGGGCGGATCACGAGGTCAGAAGATCGAGACCATCCTGGCTAACACGGTGAAACCCCGTCTCTACTAAAAAAATACAAAAAATTAGCCGGGCGTGGTGGCGGGCGCCTGTAGTCCCAGCTACTCGGGAGGCTGAGGCAGGAGAGTGGCGTGAACCAGGGAGGCGGAGCTTGCAGTGAGCCGAGATCGCGCCACTGCACTCCAGCCTGGGCGACAGAGCAAGACTCCGTCTCAAAAAAAAAAAAAAAAAAGAAGGAGGAAATACTTAAGACAATTAAAGTCGTCATTTCTGCAGCTGGTCACGTGTTTTCAGGCGGTATTGATGACTGGCTTCTACTCCCCATTGTGTGTTTTCTTTGCCTTCAGTAAGGTATTCAGCAGGTCATTTTTTTTTTCCTGGTTTGTGACCCAAACCTTAATTCCTGAAGGATCTGAACCATTTGGAGTCCTGCCAGGATTGGGCTCTTGTAGTTTCCTATTGACCTTAATCGCAGGTCATAGTAATACTAAGACACATCCTAATGTACCTTCTCTATTCCATTCATACTCTTCCTTACCTAAATTGTGGAGCAGTAGACTGATTTCCTCCTTGATAGTTTGGGTCAATCACCTCAGTCAATACTGTGCCTTCCTTCTTAGACTGTTGACTCAAAGGTAGGAGAAGGCCAAAGTGTTTGGGTGTCAATCTTAACTTCTAGTTTAATGGAATCATGGCCGTGTCTTCTGGTGGCAGCATTCCTCCCTCTAGAACTAAGATCTCTAGGCCAACAGAACTTAACGTCTTGGAAACAGAAAGCAAAAAATGTTGCTAGTGGATCTCTTGGGGTGGTGGTGAGTGGTGACATTTCTACTTACAACCCTTGATTTTTGGACCCATGAATTCTTGCTGTGAGAGAAACAGTACAATATATTGGATGCTGATTCACAGCACACATGGTCTTCTGGAGAACTTTGCCACAGGCCCTTCAAAGTATTCTCTCATAATTGGCATTGTAATTGTAACTTCAAAGGGCCATTTTACCATTCTATTTATCTAGCTGCTTCAGGATGATAAAAAGCATGGCAAGACCAGAGAATTTAATGAGGAGAAGCCAACTGCCACACTTCTTTAGCTTTAAAGTGAGTGCCTTGGTCAGAGGAAATGCTGCATGGAATAACATGATGATGAATAAAGCATTTTGCGAGTCCACTGATGGTAGTCTTGGTGGACACATTGCATGCAGAATAGGCAAAGCCATGAGAAATGTAAAAATTTATTCCAGCGAGGACAAACCTTTGCCCTTTCCATGATGGAAGAAGTTAAATATATTCAACCTGCCATCACGTAGCTGGCTGATCACCCCGAGAAATTGTCCCATAACAAGGGCTCAGTGTTGGTCTCTGCTGCTGGCAAATTGGGCACTCAGCAGAGGCCATAGCCAGGTCAGCCTTAGTGAGTAGAAGCCCATGTTGCTGAGTCCATGGGCTCCATTCCTGCCAACATGGCCGCCTTGTTCATGGGCCCATTGGGCAATGCCAGGCTGGGGAAAGAGGCAGAGCGGTGTCCACAAAATGGGTCATTCTATCTGCTTGATTACTAAACACTTTCTCTGCTGAGGTAACTCGTTGGTGAGTACTCACATAAAATAGAAGTATCTTCAGTTTTTCACCACTCAGAATGACCCATCCACTTATCTTTTCCCCAAATTTCTTTGTTGCCAATATTCTAATCATGCTTCTTCCAAGTGCCAGACCTCCAGACAAACCATTGACTAAGGCCCATTAATCTGTATATAAACACATATTTGGCTGTTTCTCCTTCAATGCAAAGTGCACAACCAGGTTCACTGCTTGAAGTTTTACCCTCTGGGAAGATGTATCTTCACCACTGTCCTTCAGGGATGTCCTAGAAAGGAGCTGTAGTGCTTCAGCTGTCCACTTTTGGGTGGTGGCTGCATATTGTGCAGAATCACTTGTGAACCAGGTCCCAGTGTTAGTTCCTCTGTCAACTCATCATAAATAACTTCCCGTTAGGCCATCGGTGCAGGATGGAGGAGAGAAGGTGCCATGGCCAGAGTGGGCCATGGTCTCCATGGGCATTTGAGCCACTTTCTCATGTAACTTACTTGTGCCTTAGGACCTGCTCAAGCCTTGTCACATATATACCACTTCCATTTGATAATGAAATGCTGCTTTGCACAACCCACTTTATGACTAGATGAGTTTAAAAGCACACAGTTTATGATAGGCAGTTCAGCTCACACAGTGACTTGATGACCCATAGTCAAAAGTTCAGTTTTCACCAAAGCCCAGTAATGGGCCAAGAGCTGTCTCTCCAAAGCAGAATATTTATCTACAGAAGATGGCAGGGCATTGTTGCAAAATCCTAGAGGCCTGTGCTGTGATTCACCTGTGGAAGCCTGGCAAGGGTTCCAAACAGCATTCCTATCTGCCACTGACACATCAAGTACCATTGGATATGTGGGTCATGTGGCCCAAGTAGCAGAGGAGCTTGCCCAGCAGACTGCACCTGTTGCAGAGACTTCTCCAGTTCTGGATGCCACTGGAAGCTGGCAGCCTTTGGGTCACTCGATAAGTGGGCCAGAGTGACACATCCAAATGAAAAATATGTTGCATCCAAAATCCAAATAATCCTACCAAGCACTGTGCCTCTTTCTTGGTTGTAGGAGGTGCCTAATGCAACAACTTATTCTTTACCTTAGAAGGAATATTTTGTTAGGCTCCACAAGACTGGACCCCTAGGAATATTACTGAGGTAGGAGGTCTCTGAATTTTAGTCAGATTCATTTTCCATCCTCTGGTATAAAAATGTCTCACCAATAAGTCCAGTGTTCTTGCTACTTCTTGCTCACTGGATCAAATCAGCATAATGTCATTAATTATATGGACCAGTGTGATATCTTACAGAAATGAAAAGAAATCAAGTTCTCTCTGAGTAAGATTCTGACATGAAGACAGAGAGCTGATATACCTCTGAGGTAGGACAGTAAAAGTATATTGCTGGCCTTGTCAGCTGAAGGCAAATTTCTTCTGCTGGGCCTTATAGATATTAATAAAGAAAAAGGCATTTTCCACGTCAATGGGTGCATACCAGTTACCGGGAGATGTATTCATTTGCTCAAACAATAAAACTACATCTGGTAAAGCAGCTGCAATTTGAGTCATAACTTAGTTAAGTTTTGATAATTCACTGTTGTTATCGAAGATCCATCTGTCTTCTACACAGTCCAAATGAAAGCGTTGAAGGAAAAGGTGCTGGTAATTACCACTGCTGCATCTTTGAAGTCCTTGATGTTGACACTAATCTTTGCAGTCCTCTCAGGAATGTGATATTGTTTTTGATTTACTATTTTTTATGTATAGGCAGCTCTATTGGCTTCCATTTGAACTTTTTCAGTGTAGTAGCCCTCACCCTACACATCAGGGAGCAAATGTGGGGTTCTGCCAGCTGCTAAGTATGTCTATGCTAATTATGCATTCTAGCACTGGGAAAATGACTCCAAGATGAGTCCTGGGACCCATAGGACACTCTGTAAGTCCAACCTAAGCTAAATCTCCATTCATTACCTGACCTCCATAAGCTCCTACTTTAATTGTAGGATCACACTTATATTGTCAGTAATGTAGTGGGGTCGTTCCTCAAGGGAAACTGGCCTCTCCTTCTTTCAAGGGGTTCTTGGTCTTTAAACTGGCTGTAGTTTGGAAACTGATTGGGGAGGGGGCTGCAATTCACTGCTTTTATAATTTAAAGTAATCTTTTTTTTATTTGACCCAAAAGTTATCTGTTTGTTTAACTTAAGTGTGAATGCAGTAGGCTTTCTCTCAATTTCACTTCCAGGAACACCTTGATTAATTAGTTAATGCCAGAGCTCCATAGGAGTCACATTATTGTAATTGCCACTTCCCTTAGTTACATCCACCTTGCCTTTGATGGTTGAGTACTGCCACTTGGCCCCTGCCACCTGGGGATCCAATTTTTCTCATCGTATTTAAATTTTGCCGTTGAGTGATTGTGTTTCCCACCATTAAATCTGACATACACAGAAGAGAAATTACAGGGCTATTCACAGATGCAAGTGCTTCCCTCACAAATCTATTTCACAAGGCATTGGTAAAGGGTATCTCTTCTGGACCCTTCAAAGTGGAATGAGTAAAGTCTAAGGAGATGAATCCACTCCACCATCCCAATTTCCCTAAGCCTCCAGATCTCTCTCTCTACATTAAGCCAACGAAGACCAGGCATTTCCAGCTCACTCACAGTGGGACATCTTTTAATCCATATTTCAGCTAACCAGGCAAATCAACTATTAGAATTTTTTTAGCTACCTGAGCAGCAACATTAAATGCAAATTCCCTACTTAGTGGGCTCTACTCAATAAATTCAGTCTGATACAATTCCATGATTCCTCTTCCCCCATTATCCCCTACACTTAATATTCATTCCCATGCCTGTCCTCCAGATTTCTGTTCAAATAAATGAGATAACTCTAACAGTTCTTTTTGAGTGTAGCACACCACTTCATGGGTCACACTCTCCACCTCACCTCTAGGAGCCCACCAGAACTTTAATCTACTTATAGGTTTAGAAACAAACAGAGGTGTTGGGGATGGCTTCTGAGGAGAAATCATATTATCTTTCCTAGAAACTGCCTCAGGGGTGGAAAACACTGTTGTCTCAGCCAGTGCAGGGTTTCTTTCTTCAGACAGAGTTGGAAAGGCTGATGGAAGTGTGGATCAGAAAGGGGATGTTGCCACTTCTTGAGATGAGGAAGCCATTCTTTCTGGCACCAAAAAAAAAAAAAGTTCATCAGAGTTAACCACTCACTGTCACCAGATTCATCAGGGTTCTTCTACACATCCCTATTGTGATTTACAGGGTCCGTTTCTTTTTCAATCCATGCCCTCACTATAACAGTAGACACCTGGTGAGGCTGTGCATGCATCTTTTATTGCAGGTCAGTGACTTACATGATAAGAGCCTGTGTCTGTTTTTCCAGTTTCAGCTCTTGCTCTACAAATGATAAGATTCTTACTCAGGGCAAAATTGGCAGATTTGAGCCTCAGTATCTGCTTCTGAAGTTGGGAGACAGTATCCCTCAGTTCATCATTTTCTTTCATCATATTGTTCACTGAACTTAGGAGCTACCAAGCAGCTTCACTGTGTTCTTTGGTTCTCCACATATGGTCAAAGGTATTATGTATAGAACCACTAAACTCCTTGATTCTCACAATCAGTGAATCAGGAGTGCCAAATTCATTTATTTTGCATAAGTCTCTAAATGGTTTCCACCAAGGACTATCAGTGTTCTCCATATTATTAGAAGCAGAGTCCACAGACTTTTTGCATCAAATTATATTAAACAGCCAACTTCAGAACCTCCAAAACCAATGAAAGAACTTTATTTTTAATGTTCTGTTCCTCTAGAACCATTTCTGGTACCAAAATCTTTATTAGTCAGGATTCTTTCACAGGGACAGAACTAATATCTATAGAAGAGTTTATTAAGTATGAACTTACATGATCACAATGTCCCACAATAGGCTGTCAGCAAGCTGAGAATCAACGATAGCCAAACTGAGTACCAAAATTGAACAACCTGGAGTCAGCCATGTGAGGGCAGACAGCATCCAGCACAGGAGAAAGATGTAGGCAAGAGGTTAGTCCATCTCACCTTTTTACGTTTTTTTCCTGTTTTATGTTTACTGGAAGCTGGATAGATTGTGCCCTCCAGATTAAGGTTGAATCTGCTTTCTCCAGCCCACTGACTCAAATGTTAATCTGTTTTGGGCAGCACTCACACAGACACACCCAGGATTAATACTCTGTACGTCTCAGTCCAGTTAAGTTGACACTCAGTATTAACCATCACAGGCTCCTGGGCATAAATTTGTTGCTCCCCACCGAAGCTCCACCTTCAAGCAGTGACATCTTGAAGTCTGGGGCATAGGCTGATGGACAAGAATGGGAAATGATTTTACTTTTATTAAGTAAATTGCTTTATTAAGTAAATTTACTTTTAATTAAATTTAAAGTAATTTTTATTTAAATTTACTTTTAAATTAATAAAAAGTAAATTTACTTTTATTAAAGAAATTGCTGCCCAATAATCCAATCAGCAAGCACTTTATTTTCTTTGAACGATGTAAAATTACTGGATTCAGCCACACTGGAAGACTTGACAGACTACCAAGCAGCTGTGGAGAGGACCGACACACTGAAGGGCCTTCTCTCTGCTGAGAGCTAAGGAGGCATCAGAACTTTCAACAGCACACTGGAGCTACCCACCACAGGCTTTGCTGAGAGCTAGGGAGATAATGGAGCAGCTAGATAAACGGATAAGCTACCTACTCCAAGATCTCTTCTATGCTGAAAGCTTAGATGTTGGGACCACCAGATATGAGGATTTCCCCACTGCAGAGCCTTCTCTCTGCACGGAGCTTAAAACTGGGCAAGATGACTAGCTGGATGGAGAAGATACCCGCTCCAGTTTCTCCTCTCTGCTGAGAGCTGGATGGTAATCACTGACACCCTGCCTTTAGAGAGGAGCTACCCACTCTCTTTGCTGAGAGCTGGACACTCATCAGGACATCTGGCTTGTGTGGAGGAGCTACCCAGTGAGGGGCTTTTCTGTGTTCTCTCATTCAGTACAGCTTCTCTTTACATTGCACACTCTTTAATTGTCCATCTACGTCTTTATTCCTGAAGGCAGAGCAATTATTTGAGATAAGCTGAATGGTGAAGCTGAAAGAGTTGTAACACAAACTGGGGGAAAAAAGACATACCTTGCTCATCACATTGTGGAAGACAAAAATAAGAGGAGAGCTATGACCCTTCAGGGTGCACAGACCTAGGCACTCTCAAAGCCAGGGCTGTGACATCTTTAGGGCTTTGAAGTTTCTGGCATCTTCAAACTTCTGGGCACAACTCCATTCCTTAGTATAAGCTATGGAAGCTGCTTGCAGAATGCCTGATCCAGCTGCAGCTTCTCAGTGAGATGGCACTTCTCTTGGCACCTAAAATTTCCTGCCCTGCCACAGCTGGCATGCCTGGCTATGTGTAGTGGCTGATGCCCACACTCGCTCATACACCCCTTGCCACTCTATGCCACATTTGCCCTTGGCAGGTGTTAAATCCATGCCTATAATGCAAGGGGAAGGCAGCCTCTCAGGCAGAGTGCGTATAACAAGCTTAGCAGGCCTTAGCAAAACTGAGGCAAAGGCACTACTGGCCACAGGGGTTTCCATCTGGCAAGGTGACTCCACCAAAATTCCAAGACAAAAGAAGCATAGCTACTTGTGTTTAAATGCCTTACATCTACTGGATCTTGAAATATTGATAATTGAGTGTCTTACAATGTGAGATATAGATACGTAGATAGATAGATTGATAGGTAGATAAATTGTGTGTGTATGTCTGTGTGTGTGTGTGTGTGTGTCAGAGTCTCACTGTGTCACTCAGGCTGGTGTGCAGTGGTGTGACCTCGGCTCACCACAACTTCTGCCCCCTGGGTTCAAGTGATTCTCCTGCCTCAGCCTCCTAAGTAGCTGGGAATACAGGCATCTGCCACCGCACTTGGCTAATTTTTGTATTTTTAGTTGAGGTGGGATTTCAGCATCTTGGTCAGGCTGGTGGTAAACTCCTGACATCATGATCCACCCACCTCAGCCTCCCAAAGCACTGGGATTACAAACATAAAGTACCTCATCTGGCCACAGTTTGATATTGTTAAACCTTATTTGGAAATTATTATATTTCCAATTTTTTTAGGAATTAAATTTGAAAGATTTGCATTTGCATTGAGTCACCTGATCTCTCTTACTTACACTCTCTTACTCTTTTTATTATGTGAGAATATATTTCTAAAATATGTGGCATTGGTGTTCAGATTGGCATTTTTCTGGTGGATTATAAAGTTTACTGATGGAACAGAATTTCTTATTCCTGGTTTTGACATTTTGTACTCATGTAATTTCTTTCTGTGAGGATTTTTTGCTGCATTCTGTAGGATTATGAGTAGCATTTCTGGCATCTTCGACTAAGTGTGATAGTAAATTTTTTTTTCCATGGTGGAAATACGCAAGTATGTTTGTATCTTGTGGAAACAAAACTGATGCAATTTACTATTCTACAGAGTTCTAAAGAAGAAATAAGAACTTGCTTTTAAAAATTTTGCGCAAATTTTACATGAAATCTCACTTTTCTCTAAGTCTTTGCTGTTCTAACATCCTGTAATTTTCTATCATCATCATGTAAGTTAAGCCTATAATACTTTTCCTTTTGCAGGATAGTGTTAAAAACACAGGTTAAATGGATGTTGAAGAGCTGATATAAGAGGCCACATTTGGGTAAGAAAAGAGTTATTGGTCTTTATCTCAAAAAGCTCACCATCATGAATTATTAGGGAAATGCACAACTAAACTGCAATGAGACACCATCTGAGGCCAGTCAAAATGGTGATTACTAAAAAGCCAAGAAACAACAGATGATAGTGAGGCAGTGCAATGATAGGAATACTTTTATATTGTTGTTCAGAATGCAAATCAGTACACACTGTGAAAAAGTGTGTGATGATTCATCAAGTATCTAGAACCAGAAATACCACTGGCCTCAGCAATTACATTACTGGATATATACTCTTCCAAAAACAAGCTATTCTATTACAAGGATACATGCATATGTATGTTTACTACAGAACTATTCACAGTAACAAAAACGTGGAATTAACCCAAATGCCTATCAACGACAGCCTGAATAAAGAAAGCGTGGTACATATACACAATGAAATTATATGCAGCCATAAAAAGGAATGAAATTATGTCCTGTGAAGGGGCATGTATGAAGCAGGAAGCCAATATCCTCAGTAAGCTAACACGGAAACAAAACACACACACAAAAAAAACACTGCATGTTCACACTCATGCATGGGAACTGAACATTGAAGACACATACACACAGGGAGGGAAAGAACACATACTTGGGTCTGCCAGGGGGGAAAAAAGAGACTCAGATAAATAACTAAATCATGCGGGGCTTACTACCTATATTATGGGTTGATATGTGCAGTCAACAACCATGGCACGTGGTTAATTGTGAAATAAACCTGCATGTCCTGCATGTGTACCATGGAATTTAATATAAAATAAAATTAAAAATAAGAAGGCTTTTATTTTTGTAGAGTTTATAGTAACTTTTAAATATGTGCCACACTTTACTGAAGACTTTTTTTTTTTTTTAAATATGGCGTCTCTCTCTGTTGCCAGACTGGAGTGAAGTGGTGCGATCTTGGCTCCCTGCAATCTCTGACCCCTGGGTTCAAGTGATTCTCCTGCCTCAGTTTCCTGAATAGCTTGAATTACTTGTGCATGGCACCACACCGAGCCTTAAGATATTTTTTTAAAAATAATTACAAATCAGTTTTTGACAAACTGCATTGAAAAGTAAATAGTGTATTTCAATTCTTAGTTGATTGAATTTCTTCCCTTTTATTTTTAGAATGATATCTCACACTGCCCCTTTGCCTGGAGTGCAGAGTGCAATCTTGGCACCCTGCAACCACCTGACTCACAGCTTCAAGTGATTTATCTTCCTCAGCCCCTTGATTAGCTGAGATTACTGGCGGACACAACCACAGCTGATGGGGTTTCCCCATATTCTACAGACTCTTCTCTAACTCCTGACCTCAAGTAATTTGCCTACCTTATTCTCAGAACATGCTGGGACTACAGATGTGAACCACCGTGCCTGGCACTTGATTGAATTTATAATTGAGAAAAACATACATCTTGCAAAAATTTATTTTTATATCATATTTTTATGAGTTTATATATCTCATAATTCATGAAAAATAATAAAGCTTTAATGCCTTTTTATATTTTAAATGAATTTATTTCCATTTTTATGTAATTAAAAGAGTAGGTTAATTTAGAATGTTATTTTTCTTTTGGGTAAATTTCTCAGGCTTTAGAAATTTCTTTAAAAATCTACTCTGGGAAAATAATTACATTTATTGATTTTACTTGGTTTTTTTTTAGGAATTGCTTATGTAAGAAAGTTCAAATTTGTTTCAAGATACAATGAGATGTTTAATTATGTCAAATAAACTTAAAATATTTTCTTTGAAAAGAATTTTTTTACCTATATTTTCTACAAATAATACTGTGATTACTTTTTCTGACTTACTAGAAATTAATTGATTGTTTCATCTTCCCTGCATAAAAAGTTCACCTGCAATATTTAAGAAGTAAACAACTGCCAGCCGAGCTGGCTGTTCCAGTCTGTCGCTCACCAAACACCATCAATTCTGGTTTTGAGCTACTTGTAACACCAGCTATTGGCTGTGTAAAAAAATCTTAAAAAGACAGTAGACTGTTTGGCTGAAATATATTACACAGACAAAACAATAGCTAGTGAGTATTTTAAATTAAAGCTGCTTTTGTTCATTAATCATAGTTTTGTGTGAAATTCTATTTTCTCATTTAGATAAAACCAACTCATGGTTTTTTGTCAACTATTTTAACATTCTGTAGCCATCAGGTACATAATTAATACAATTTTAGTCGGAGAGTACAATTTATTTAATATCTATTTATTTAATGCTCCCCTATAGTTGGCTTTGGTAACTTAACACAGTGAGTTGTTTGAATCACATGTGAAAAAATACTGAAACTTTAGAGTAATGAGGAATCAAATGTAATACTATAAAAAGTTTATATTTAAAATGTATGCATTAAAAAGTTTTTCATAACCCACAAATTGAAGTTGCTTAATGTTATTTTAGTTAAATTCTAAGAAAGTTATGGTTTAAAAATCATGATATGAGAAGAGAACATTTGAGTGCATTTTATTGCTTCTAAATACCACATCAGTCCCACAAAGAGGGTAGTAATGTTGAAATCTTACACAGAACTAAAACAAGTTTGAGGTAATGTAAGTAAATTAACAAAGAATAACATAAAATTTAGTTTATTTCAAGAGAAAACTGAATGTTAAATATATAATTAACAGCAGCATTCAGTATAGACCTTTAATTAGTAAATGTGAAATTATATTTATATTTTTATCTGTGGGAGTATATTTTCTAGCACATTGTAGGATTTTCTAGCTAAACTCACTGCTTAAAAGGTCAGATCTTTATTTGTCTTGTGGGTTCTTTGTAGAGGAAAGAGTTTACTTTTGAAAAACACCTTTTTCTTAATTTATTTAACTATTGTATTGACATAGTAAATACATATTTTCAAAAGAGTTTTTTTAAACAAACACTGCTGTTGTTAAACTATTTAGCTAACAGTTTTATGGGGTTAAAATATATTTCCAAATACATAAGAGGATATGTACTGCAAATTATTAACTTGCCACCAATATTATATTCCTGGTCCAGAGATTATGTCTGTATGTGCACTAATCCATGCATGTAACTATTTGTTTATTTTTTACACAAATGAAAATATACAATATACAGCATTATTAACTTTGTTTTGTATTTAGTCAAACACCTGTCAGTATATGAAGATCTGTTTCATTCTGATTTGTAGCTACATAACTTGCCTTTCAATGTGCTCTAATTTATGCAATCCATCTCTAAGATGAATTGATGTGTAAGCTGTATTACCTTTTGCAGAAAGTAGGGAAGAATTTATAGTCCTTACAGTGATTTTAAATATGCAAGACAAAGAAATTATTGTTAGTTACTGAGGAATAAAGCAGATATTTATGTGAAGCTTACAGTTTTATGAGTCACAACAATAACTTTAAATGAAGTGCTCAATTAAAAGTGAGAAAACCCTAATGTTTTATTTATATAAAGTTCTGATGACAATTAATTAAATACACTTATTTTAGGCCCAAAAGTTTTATAGTAAGTAAACTTGTAATGATTAAGGCTAAGTCCATGATTGTGTCCACACTCTGTATCTAGCTAATCTAGTGGGGATGTGGAGAACCTTTGTGTCTAGCTCAGGGATTATAAACCCACCAATCAGTGCCCTGTCAAAACAGACCACTGGGCTCTACCAGTCAGCAAGATGTGGGTGGGGCCAGATAAGAGAATAAACTCAGGCTGCTGGAGCCAGCAGTGGCAACCTGCTCGGGTCCCCTTCCACACTGTGGAAGCTTTGTTCTTTCGCTCTTTGCAATAAGTCTTCCTACTGCTCACTCTTTTGGTCCACACTGCCTTTATGAGCTGTGACACTCACTGCCAAGGTCTGCATCTTCACTCCTGAGCCAGCGAGACCATGAACCCACCAGAAGTAAGAAAGTCCAAATACATCTGAACATCAGAAGGAACAAACTCTGGACACGCCGCCGTTAAGAACTGTCACACTCATCTCGAGGGTCCGCGGCTTCATTCTTGAAGTCAGTGAGACCAAGAACCCACCAATTCTGGACACAGGAGGGCCTCCATCTTCCAGACCCCAGAATAGTAGATCCACTGACAGCTTGAATTTTGTTCCTGGAGAAGCCACAGATACTGAATGCCAGCTGGTGGAAACAGTTGGGAGGAAGGCTGTACCCTGCAAAGCCTCATGGGTGCAGGTGCACAAGACCATGGGAACCCAGCTCTTGAAGATCATTCTGAAGCTTTAAGATTGTACTGCCTCCTTGGATTTTAGACTCGCATGGGGGCTGTAGCCCCTTTATTCCAGTCAGCTTCTCACATTTGGAATGGCTGTACTTTTCCAACGCCTGTACCCTACTGTATCTAAGAAGTAACAAACTTGCTATCAATTTTACAGGCTCATAGGGAGAAAGAACCTGCCTTGTCTCAGATGAGATATTGGACTTTGACTATTGAGTTAGTGCTGCAATGAGTTGAGGCATTGCAGGACTATTGGAAAAGCATGACTGGTTTTGAAATGTGAGGAAATGAGATTTGGGAGGGGCCAGGGTTGGAATGATATGGTTTGACTGTGTCCCCACCCCACTTGAATTTTTACATGTGGTGGGAGGAATGAGATGGGGAGTAATTGAATCATGGGGGCAGATGTTTTTTGTGCTGTTCTTGTGACAGTGAGTAAGTCTCATTATATATGATGGCTTGAAACATCAGTTTCCTTGCAGAAGCTCTCGCTTTGCCTGCTGCCATCTGTGTAAGATGTTAATTGCTCCTCTTTCCCTTCTATCATGATTCTGAGGCCTCCCCAGTCATGTGGAACTGTCAGTTCATTAAACCTCTCTTTCTTTTATAAATCGCCCAGTCTAGCATATGTCTTTAGCTTGAAAATGGACTAAGACAGTACAAATATCAGATTGACTGATAAAGCTCTGTGACTTTAATTTCACAGTCAAGTCAAAGATGTAAATCAAATACAATTGTGTGTAGGTCTCTGAAAATTCTTATCAACCTTTTTCTAGTTCAGTAACACTTTATTAACATATTTTAACATAATGCTGAAAGAGTTGTTAAATCAAGTTATAATGTACTCTATACTTTTATAATTATTGCTAAGCTAAGACTACAGTCATTTTAATTGTTTTAAGAGACAAAGTCTCTATTGCTACAGCTGGAATGAATGCAGTGGTGCAATTATAGCTAACTGCGGCTTCAAACGTATGGGCTCATGTTATCCTGCTGCCTTAGCCTCCCAATGAGCTGGGTCTACAGGAAGAGGACAGTAGGCTCAGCTAATTATTTAATTTGTTTATTTATTTTAATTTTTTTGTTAGAGACGGAATTTTGAAATGTTGCTGAGGCAGGCCTCAAAATCTAGGCTTAAGGTAATCCATCCACCTTGGCATCATATAGTGCTAAGTTTACTGGTGTGATCCACCATATCTAGCTAATTCTTAAAAACTTTTTGTAGAGATGGTACTTCACTATTTTGCCAAACCAGGTTACAAACACCTGCCCTCAAGGTTATTTTTGCCTTGACCTTTACTATTTTTGGAATTACAAATATAAGCCACAAAACCTGGTCTAAAAATGATCTACATTTTTAACTATAAGTTAAAATTTTATCTGGTAGAGATAAAGCTTCTTATGTAATGATAAAGTAGAACATGATGTGATACAAATTTATTGGTATGTGAGCCAATTTTTAAATAATAAATGCACATTTAGATTAGAGATTTTTAAGTTTACTAAGAATTCTCTCACAATTACTACAAAAATGTTTATTGTGTATTTAAAATTTGAAATAATATTTTTATGGTTAGGAAAATGTAAAGCAGTATAATAGAGAACCAAACCAATTGTAAGAACTCTACGAATGAAATGCAAAGCCATGTACAAGTCACTGGCAGGACCACAAACTATTTTTTTTGGTGTGAAATCCAGTGGTGATGTGGAATATACCAGCAATTTGTATACTAATCATAGTAATTTCTTGTGCTTTAGGCAGAAAAGTAATTCTACTCTTCAAATAAAAATACATATACAGTCAAAAACATTTGTATTTTCAAGCACTTTCTAAATAAAATTTTTGTTAGTTAACACTAATTCTTAGTGATTTACTTACCACTTCACTAACCCATACTGCAAACTAGTGCTTGAGTAGAAAGTAATAATTATTATTATAAATAATGCTCTTTTATATATCCATATATTAAGTACCACTATTCTAATGTACAGATATATTACATTTTACACTTTAAATAACTAAACCAAAAAGAAACACTTTCACATAAATTAAGGCTAATGATTCGATAAGAAAAGGTAAATGAAGCCTAAAGAAAAAAAGTAAACACATGTTGATGCTTTGTAAGGAATCACGCAAGCCAAACACAAATTATTTTTTATTAGTAAGAAGCTAATCTAAAAGCTTACCTTGAGCAGGATTTAAATAAACACGATTAATGTAAATACTTTTATTCCATTATGGATAAATTTCACATTTTGTTTCTATACACTTCTCTCAATGGCTGGTGATGTAATGATGTGATGTGGTATTGCAAAAGTTAGTCATAATATATATCTTACCATCTCATCACCTTCATCTATCATGTCCATTTGCTTATTAAAAATAAGTACACAAGCATTTCACCATCTCTTCTCTCATCTCTATGACATGCACTTCAGTGTGTAATCAAATACATTTGTGTACTCTCCACCAAAACACTGACTTTTTAAATTTCTTTATCATCTTCTATTTTCAATTCTGTTACATCTCCATCATCAAATTTATACCAGTGATCTGAGTCATTGGCTACCATCTTTGAATAATACAAGAATAATAAGCCAGGCACGGTGGCTCATGCCTATAATCCCAGTACTTTGGGAGACCCAGGCGGGCAGATCACCAGGTTAGGAGATCCAGACCATCCTGGCTAACATGGTGAAACGCCATCTCTACTAAAAATACAAAAAATTAGCCGGCTTGGTGGCAGGTGTCTGTAGTCCCAGCTACTCTGGAGGCTGACACAGGAGAATGGCATGAATCTGGGATGTGGAGCTTGCAGTGAGCCAAGATTGCACCACTGTACTCCAGCCTGTGCTACAGAGCAAGACTATTGTCTCAAAATAAATAAATAAAATAATAATAATTCCCACTACTTGCTTGATCAGCATTGCTACTGTGTAAGGTCCCATATCCAGGTCCCAGAGAAATTAAAAATAATCACTGAATATAATTGTACATTTTCCCAGACATATTAAAATTGTTTGAGTTGGCTGCAAAACCAAAAGGGAATATTTTAAATAGCAAGTGCTTTCCTGTGTTAACATACCATAAACAAAGAATATAAACAAATATTCTCTTGTTACCTGCGCAGACATTAAAACAATGTAATGAGAATTTTAAAGTTTATAATCTTTTGAGCTGGGCGCGGAGGCTCACTCCGGTAATCTCAGTAATTTGGAAGGCTAAGGCCGGCAGATCACGAGGTCAAGAGATTGAGGCCATCCTGGCCAATGTGGTGAAACCCAGTCTCAACTAAAAAAAAAAAAAAAAAATTGCAGGGTATGGTTGTGCAAACGTGTAATCCCAGCTACTCAGGAGGCTGAGGCAGAATTGCTAGAACCTGAGAGCCAGAGGTTTCAGTGAGCTGAAATTGTGCCATTGCACTGCAGCCTGGGCAACAGAGCGAGACTCCGTCTCAAAAAAAATTATAGTCTTTCTCATCTAGTTTATACAGACGAGTAAATGATAGTTAACACCAGCAGGGTAATTATGTCATAACTAACTTAAGCAATGCTTACTTACCAAAGCTTAAAATGTTTATATATAGTAATCCTTTGGCATCTGTAGGGGATTGGCTACAGGATCCCCATGATTACTATAATTTGTGTCTGCTCAAGTTTCTAATGAACAGTGGTGCAGTACGTAAATATAACATACACACATCCTTCTGTATAGTTTACTTATCTCTAAATAACTTAAATAATTAATAAAATGTAAATGTTAAGTAGACAATTATATTGTAATTGCTTTTAAATTTGCTAGTTTTTATTGTATTGTTATTTTTTGTTTTTGGACATTTTAATACATGTTTAGAGAAATCTGTGTTTGCAGAACCTGTGGATGTAAAAGGTCACTTATGTGTTGCAAATTGGAAAACATTACTGACACAGACCCTGATGGCTATGTGGTTCCATATAGCCACTACTATCTGTTTTATTCCTCTAATGCTTTCTTTTATGCTATTAATTAGAATTTGGTGTGAGTAAACTGAAGATATATGATAAGCAATAATAATAGCAGCTAATATTTATAGCACTTAAAGACCAGGTAATACACTAAGAGCTGCACACATATTAATAAATTTAATCCTCACTGTCTTTTTTTTTTTTTTTTGAGATGGAGTTTCACTCTTTTCACCTACGCTGGAGTGCAATGGCAGGATCTCAGCTCACTGCAACCTGTGCCTCCAGGATTCAAGCGATTCACCTGTCTCAGCCTCCCCAGTAGCTAGTATTACAGGCATCTGCCACCATGCCTGGCTAATTTTCATATTTTGGGTAGAGATGGGGATTCACCCTGTTGGCCAGGCTGGTCTCACTAATTATAAAAAGGTAATAACTATATATAATTATTTTAAATGTGTGGATTTAGAGTGGCAGAAAGGGCAGGGTGCAT
Organism: Homo sapiens; assembly: GCF_000001405.40. Taxonomy (NCBI): domain Eukaryota; kingdom Metazoa; phylum Chordata; class Mammalia; order Primates; family Hominidae; genus Homo; species Homo sapiens. The sequence goes on from NC_000024.10 coordinate 9,192,426, forward strand.
GGCTCACACCTGTAATCCCAGCACTTTGGGAGGCCGAGGCAGGTGGCTCAGGAGGTTGGGAGATCGAGACCATCCTGGCTAAAAATGGAGTAACCACTTCTCTACTAAAAATACAAAAAATTAGCCAGGTGTTGGGGCAGGTGCCTGTAGTCCCAGCAACTCGGGAGGCCAAGGCAGGAGAATGACATGAACCCAGGAGGCCGAGCTTGCAATGGGCCGAGATTGTGCCACAGCATTCTAGCCTGGGCAACAGAGTCTAGGGCGACAGAGCGAGACTCTGTCTCAAAAAAACGGAAAAGGAAAGGAAAGGAAAGGGAAAGGAAGGGAAGGGAGGGGAGGGGAGGGGAGGGGAGGGAAGGGAAGGGAAGGGAAAAGAAAGGAAAGGAAAGGAAAGGAAAGGAAAGGAAAGGAAAGGAAAGGAAAGGAAAGGAAAGGAAAGGAAAGGAAAGGAAAGGAAAGGGAAAGGAAAGGAAAAAAAAGTGGTAGAAAGGGTAAAAATAAACTGTTCCAAGTCTCAGAGGTGTGAATAGAAGGAAGGATGACTTTATAAACAAACCACAATCTAAATGGCAGCTAAATTCAAAACAATGCAGAAAGCTTGGAGGTGAGAAGTTATGAAAGTGAAGAAAGACATATGTGTTACTTAACATATAACATCTTCAAGGACATTTTACCATTTCCTCTCCCAATCAATTTGTGCAGAGATAAAATCAGCTGGTTAGGCCTAGAGATTAAAATCTGTTTGTGAAACTACAAGTGGGTGTTAAAATCTGTTGTAACCACATTAAGTTAAGAAACTTTTTTACTTCTGAGGTATCTACAGTAGAAAAAAAATGTTTTATTCTATTAACTCCTCATGATTCAATCACTAAATTGCAATTTATTTTAGAGTAGAGATGAAAACAATCTTTGAGATCCTTTTATATCTAAAATTATTCACCTAATAAGGCTGATTTTTTTCTAGTCAGTCACTGTATTTTGTCAATATTCTTTCCCTTTAAACCCGTTATCATCTTGATTACCTCTCTGATACCACTAAAACAGTAAAGAGAAAAGCAGTAAAGAAAAAGCAGATGTTAATTTTGAGGATAAGCACAAACAACTCTAATGTCTTCTGATTCTGTTCAATGACATCATTATTTTTTTGAAAACTGAACAAAATATACTTTATATCACATTTTACAATAATATACATTTGCACCTTCATTTCATATACTGTTCCAAATAATCAAGAAGATTTTTATGTTTGTTAACGTCCACATTCAAAGTTGTAAATGATTCTTCACATTTTACCAAAACATATTATTAAAGAAACAAATTCTAAAAATGTATTATTTACATTATTTTCCCTGTATAGACAGTTTATTTGTTTGTTTATTTTATTTTTTTTTTTGTTACCCAGGCTACAGTGCAGTGGCACAATTATAGTTCACTGTGATCTCAAACTCCTTGGCTTAAGGTAGGGTTCACCAAGCAGTACCCACCTGTGTCCTGTTAGGAACTGGGTCACACATCAGCAGGTGATTGGTGGGCAAGCACGGAAGCTTTATCTCTAGTTAAACCATTACCTATGGTTCACCTTACCACCTGAACTCCACTTTCTATAAGATCCTTGGCATCAATTAGATTTTTATAGTAGCTAGAACACTACTATTTACTGTGCATGTGAGAAACCTAGGTTTTGCACTCTTTATAAGAATCTAAAGCCTTATCACCTGTAACTGTCTCCTATCACCTCCAGATAGAACCGTCTAGCTGCAGGATAGTAAGTTCAGGGCTCCTACTGATTCTACATGATGGTGAGTTGTATAATTATTTCATTAAATATTATAATGTAATAATAATAGAAATAAAGTGCATAATAAATGTAGGGCACTTGAGTCTTCCCCAAACTGTCCCTGCAACCACAGTCTTAAAAAATTGTCCTTCACTTCTGTTCCATTGATCTATATCTCTGTTTTGGTACCAGTACCATGCTGTTTTGGTTACTGTAGCCTTGTAGTATAGTTTGAAGTCATGTAGTGTGATGCCTCCAGCTTTGTTCTTTAGGCTGAGGATTGACTTGGTGATGCGGGCTCTTTGTTGGTTCCATATGAACTTTAAAGTATTTTTTTCCAATTCTGTGAAGAAAGGCATTGGTAGCTTGATGGTGATGGCATTGAATCTGTAAATTACCTTGGGCAGTATGGCCATTTTCACGATATTGATTCTTCCTACCCATGAGCATGGAATGTTCTTCCATTTATTTGTATCCTCTTTTATTTCCTTGAGCAGTGGTTTGTAGTTCTCCTTGAAGAGGTCCTTCACATCCCTTGTAAGTTGGATTCCTAAGTATTTTATTCTCTTTGAAGCAATTGTGAATGGGAGTTCACTCATGATTTGGCTCTCTGTTTGTCTGTTGTTGGTGTATAAGAAAGCTTGTGATTTTTGTACATTGATTTTGTATCCTGAGACTTTGCTGAAGTTGCTTATCAGCTTAAGGAGATTTTGGGCTGAGACAATGGGGTTTTCTAGATATACAATCATGTCGTCTGCAATCAGGGACAATTTGATTTCCTCTTTTCCTAATTGAATACCCTTTATTTCCTTCTCCTGCCTAATTGCCCTGGCCAGAACTTCCAACACTATGTGGAATAGGAGTGGTGAGAGAGGGCATCCCTGTCTTGTGCCAGTTTTCAAAGGGAATGCTTCCAGGTTTGCCCATTCAGTATGATATTGGCTGTGGGTTTGTCATAGATAGCTCTTATTATTTTGAAATACATCCCATCAATACCTAATTTATTGAGAGTTTTTAGCATGAAGGGTTGTTGAATTTTGTCAAAGGCTTTTTCTGCATCTATTGAGATAATCATGTGGTTTTTGCCTTTGGCTCTGTTTATATGCTGGATTACATTTATTGATTTGCGTATATTGAACCAGCCTTGCATCCCAGGGATGAAGCCCACTTGATCATGGTGGATAAGCTTTGTGATGTGCTGCTGGATTTGTTTTGCCAGTATTTTATTGAGAACAGAGCCCTCAGAAATAACGCCGCATACCTACAACTATCTGATCTTTGACAAACCTGAGAAAAACAAGCAATGGGGAAAGGATTCCCTATTTAATAAATGGTGCTGGGAAAACTGGCTAGCCATATGTAGAAAGCTGAAACTGGATCTCTTCCTTACACCTTATACAAAAATCAATTCAAGATGGATTAAAGACTTAAACGTTAGACCTAAAACCATAAAGACCCTAGAAAAAACCTAGGCATTACCATTCAGGACATAGGTATGGGCAAGGACTTCATGTCTAAAACACCAAAAGCAATGGCAATAAAAGACAAAATTGACAAATAGGATCTAATTAAACTAAAGCGCTTCTGCACAGCAAAAGAAACTACCATCAGAGTGAACAGGCAACCTACAAAATGGGAGAAAATTTTCACAACCTACTCATCTGACAAAGGGCTAATATCCAGAATCTACAATGAACTGAAACAAATTTACAAGAAAAAAACAAACAACCCCATCAAAAAGTGGACGAAGGACATGAACAGACACTTCTCAAAAGAAGACATTTATGCAGCCAAAAAACACATGAAACAATGCTCATCATCACTGGCCATCAGAGAAATGCAAATCAAAACCACAATGAGATACCATCTCACACCAGTTAGAATGGCAATCATTAAAAAGTCAGGAAACAACAGGTGCTGGAGAGGATGTGGAGAAATAGGAACACTTTTACACTGTTGGTGGGACTGTAAAGTAGTTCAACCATTGTGGAAATCAGTGTGGCGATTCCTCAGGAATCTAGAACTAGAAATACCATTTGACCCAGCCATCCCATTACTGGGTATATATCCAAAGGACTATAAATCATGCTGCTATAAAGACACATGCACACGTATGTTTATTGCAGCATTATTCACAATAGCAAAGACTTGGAACCAACCCAAATGTCCAACAATGATAGACTGGATTAAGAAAATGTGGCACATATACACCATGGAATACTGTGCAGCTGTAAAAAATGAGGAATTCATGTCCTTTGTAGGGACATGGATGAAATTGGAAATCATCATTCTCAGTAAACTATCGCAAGAACAAAAAACCAAACACCACATATTCTCACTCATAGGTGGGAATTGAACAATGAGATCACATGGACACAGGAAGGGGAATATCACACTCTGGGGACTGTTGTGGGATGGGGGGAGGGGGGAGGGATGGCAATGGGGGATATACCTAATGCTAGATGACGAGTTAGTGGGTGCAGCGCACCAGCATGGCACGTGTATACATATGTAACTAACCTGCACAATGTGCACATGTACCCTAAAACTTAAAGTATAATAAAAAAAAAAAGAAGTGACAGCCAGGCACAATGGCTCACGCCTGTAATCTCAACGCTTTGGGAGGCCAAGGTGGGCCGATAACTTGAGGTCAGGAGTTCAAGACCAGCCTGACCAACATGGTAAAACACCATCTCTACTAGGCATAGTGGTACATGCCTGTAATCCCAGCTACTTGGGAGGCCGAGGCAGGAGAATTTCTTGAACCTGGGAGGCGGAGGTTGCAGTGAGCCGAGATTGCACCATTGCACTCCAGCCTGGGCAACAATAGTGAAACTCGATGTCAAAAAAAAAAAAGTGCCTGACTGCTTGGCTGTTTATGGGAGAAATTAATGGCAAAGAGTATTCAATAGGCAAAGTTGTGTTTTGCACACAATTTTAAAGCAGTGTACTTAAGGCAGTATTTACCAAATAGAACAGATGTAACTTGTATTTTAAAAATGGGTTGTGACAGTAAAATATGAATGGAAAAAAAAATTATCCTTCACAAAAACAGTCCCTGGTGCCAAATTGTTCCAAACGATCACACATAGATGCACACACACATAAATACTTGAGTAAAAGTTTTGAAGACTAAACTCAAAGTGTTATAATAATTTGAAAGAACAAGAACAGAATATGGCCTAGATTGCAGAAAACAATATTTCAAGTAGAGAACGCTGATAAAAATAAATTGTTAACATACTTGAAAAGAAGAGGAAGTCACATGTGAGGCTATAGAACTAAAATAGGTAAATAAGAACTATATATGCAAATCATACTTATAACCTAGGCTTACAGTTTAGCTATGGAATCTAGAAAATTAAACTGAGAGATATAATGGGGAGTCAGTGCATTATAGGTGTGATACAGACTTTTAAAAGAAATCTAAGTGATACACTAATAAATGGAAGGGGAGGGGCTGTGAGTGAAACAGAAGGCAGCCCAGAAATCAGAATATCTCTTTTGCTTCCTACCTCTGATCTATCTAGTAAGCACTTTTTTGAAAGAACACTAAACTCTTATGAGGGAGTGCAGCTTTTTTTTTTACAAACTAGAAAGAGCTATATACTACGGTATATGATTAAAAGTTGTGTGACAGTGTTTATTATCATACGTGCCACAAATTAGGCCTTGATAAAATGAGTGAAACAAAGAAAACAAAATCAAGATGTTATGAAGCTGTGTGTTGGGGGTCGGGGGGTGACTTCTCTTCATTGCTCAGGATGAAGTGCAGCAGCACAATCACAGCTCAGGCAATGTTTTCCCCTCATTGTCCCAGGTAGCTGGGACTACTGATGCAGACCATTACACTCGGCTAATTTTTTGAATCTTAATAGAGACGGGATATCACCATGTTGCCCAGACTGGGTATGAACTCCTATAATCCGGTAATCTGCCTACCTTGGCTTCACAAAGTGCCAAGACTACCAGTGTGAGTGATAGTGCCTGGCCTAAATGAGCTTTTTCAAATGTAAAAATGGACCAAATATTACTGGTCACTTTTGTACGTGGCTCAAAAACTATATGATTACTTTACAAGCTTGCAAAATTATGTATATTATATAAAGTTATATGTTGTATATTTATATATAAGTATATTATTTCTTTTTCTTACATGGCTAGGAAGAGGTAGTTTCCTGTCAGTGATGAAAATGTTCATTTGATAATAAAAACGTCTATTTGATGATGAGTAATGTTGATCTTTGAGGTGATTATTATACATAATATCAAGCGTAAATATTACTCTAGAAGCTAAAAGACATAATTGATTCACTAATCTAACTTTAAAAGTATGATAAAGGAAGTTTAAACAAATACCAACAGGTAGTGAATAAAATGGCATGTTATCTTCCCAAGTACTTGAGACTACAGGTTCATACCACCACAGCAGAATAATTCTTGTATTTTTTTTAGAGACAGTGTTTTGCCACATTGCCCAAGCTTATAAAGTAGTTTTTATTATGTGTGATAATAGCACCATGGCCATCTTCTTAAATTTAAACTTTAGAGATGCATTAAAATATCTATACAAATAAAACAATATACTTGGCATTTGCTTTATTAGAGAACTGTTAAATCAATGAGATGACTACATTTCAGTATTTTGCTTATATATAATTTATAAATCTAATAATAAGAAGTTAATTATATCATGAGATATAAAAAATACACTGTCTGTCTTTGCTGTGAAAATTTTAACCTCTCTCAATTGGGACAATACTAATAAAAATGACCAAGAGAAACAGCTAGAATATTACTGTTTAAATATTAAACACCTAATAAATTATGTATTTTAAGATATATTTAAACATTTTAGTTAGTGTACAGATGACTTTATCATATCTTACCCATAATTTACATAAACTGTTTCCAAAAACTTCTGGGTACAATATTGTAGTCAGAAAGCAGCTAAATGTAAAAGATGACCTGAAATTGTCTTAGGAGATCAATATTGTACACTTTCCTATCTTCTGTCTTGTTTAGTGCTGGTTTCTCTTCAAATTTATAATGATATCTAAACACATCATCTTGGAGATCTCCAGAGACCGGAAGACATTAGTGAGGCACTAATCTAACGTTAAATGTATAATGAAAGAAGTTGAAATAAACACCAAAAGTTGGTTAATAAAATTATATGCATTTTTTCATACTATTTTCAAAAAACTTATTGGTTTTAATATTTAGTATTAGTACTTATTTCACAGATGGACCATCATAAAGAGTTCACAGAAAAGTTATCATTAGAAATAATAGAATAATAGCAATTATAACCTGCAATTCATTAAAGATTAAAGTCTAATCTGTGGTCTCTCATAAATAACTTATGAGGAATAAGTTACTTCGTTCTCCAAGAATTCAGTGTCTTCTTGTGAGCATAATGCATTTTTGCAGATTATATAATTTATGTGATGTATTTAGAGTTATTACAACTCAATAAATATGGCTATTAAGAGTAGTTGTGGAAGAAACACTTACACAGAAGCTCCAAAGGTCATAATTTTCTTGTAGCTACAGAGCAAAATATAGTTGTTTTACAGATATCTAACATGTTTCTACATGCTTTGCTCTTCTGAGGCTTCTGATACAGAAATAAACAATATCCAGTTCATAGCCTGAGGAAGTTCATCCCATAGAAAAAGCAACTAGGCAGACACGCATGCCACAGTAAAGTGCTGAGACAACATAAAGCAAAAGCAACCAAACAAGCACAAAGGTACGGGACTTAATTTGAATTTTATACTCTATCTGCCTCATTCACTTCTTGTCAGTATAATTAGCAATCTCTATCTATTTTAAATTCAGAACCAGAGGGGTAAAAGGGGCTTCAGTATCAGGACTTACATTCTACTTTTTTGTCCAATAGTTTCTGTTAACCAAGTATTAACGAACATCCCATATGGAGATTCTAGTAAAAGGAATGCTTCCCAGGTTGTAATTACTGCGTGGTGTAATCTATTCAATCTAGTAAGGCAGTGTTTTTTATAGTCTTCATAAATGAAAAGTGCTGAGATGTTATTTGAAAGGCAAACTATTTCTAACCACTGAGGGAAAGAAATGTAGAAATTTAAGACTCATTTACTACAGTTTAATTATTCAAATTTCTCTATTTAATTTCTATCAATATCTATAGAAAAATATAAATGAATGGTAAACAACTTGAGTGTAAACATTTCCAAAATTCAAGTTTTCTATATTCACCTATTTAATAGCTATATCTTAAAAATGTGATCTGCCACTAAAACGTGACTTTTTGCTGCTTTATTTTTATTTATGTACTATTTACTTAATTTATTTATTTTTTTGAGATAAAGTCTTGCTCTGTTGCCCATTCTAAAGTGCAATGGCGTAATCTCGGCTCAATGCAAGCTCCGCCTCCCAGGTTCACACCATTCTCTTGCCTCAGCCTCCTGAGTAGCTGGGACTACCGGAGCCCATCACCACACACAGCTAATTTTTTTTTTTTGTATTTTTTTTTTAGTACAGATTGAGTTTCACTCTGTTACCTAGGATAGTCTCAATCTCCTGACCTCGTGATCCGCCCGCCTCGGCCTCCCAAAGTGCTGGGATTATAGGCGGGAGCCACAGCACCTGGCATGCTGCTTTATTTTCAACAGATATTTTTTATTTTTAACCAAATGCTTTTATACTTTTAGCAGCCTAATTGTAATTGTTATATAATGTTGCTAACAGGTCTACGTAGCATTATTAGAAAAGCAAATTTTTTTCTGTAGCAGAGAAATCCCTAATTTTAGAAAAATATACATAGAATCCTAAAAATAAGCACAACTTATTTAACACAGATGGGATAAAAGTTTAAAAAAAAACCCAGAATACTTAAAAAAAGATGCGTATGATTATTAAAAATAAAGATTTCTAATTCTTCACATACTGAATTGCATTTACCGTATCATACATATGTGATTATATCAACTGTGCTTTGAAAATAAAGAAAAAAAGTGATAAATATTATCAACTATATTGTCAAGTTGTTAGATAATGAAAGCGATAAACATGCCAGTGATGGTATTGCAGACATTCTAGCCGTATCATCAAAATGCAGTTCTGAAAAAATCTCGTGAAAACACAGTAATCTCAGAATGAACAACTGTATCTGCTATCAGAATATTTTTAAAATAATTTTTACCTCACATTTTGTTTCTCATCTTTGAACCATAATTGTCTGTATCACTACCTGTGTTTTCAGTTACAGAAATATTGTTTGTGACAAGGGTGATTATGTATAGTTGCTAGATCACAGAATTAATGTGACAGGTAGTACCAGCTTGAATCCCACAAATCCTTTTAGTGGGTAGGGCCCAACAGGGGACAGATACTCCTACACACTGAGTGATTCACAAGATGAGATAAGAAAAAAAATGCTTATGCTACAAAAATAATGATTCTGTCCATTGTTCTCTTAATCAGGCTGGGTAAATTCATTCTATCAGGCTAAGACAGAAATTTTGAAAGAGTACTTTAAACTTTTACATCAGCAACTTGAGCCACTATACAGGCCCTTTACTACAGACTTGTTAAGTAAACATTTTTAAAGACATTGCTTCTGTAACCATTTTCTTAGAATCATGTAAGATGGTATAATATTAAATTTTCATGTGTTAAACGCAGACTTAGCTTTAATCATTAATTTAGTTATAAAAACTTGTGCACTGTAAGTGTATTCAAAACACTGTCATCAGAACTTTACATAAATAAAACATTAGAATTTTCTGTTTTAATTGAGCACTTCATTTAAAATTATTTTTCTGACTCATAAAAACTATAATCTTCACATACATTTCTGCTTTCTTCTTCAGCAAATAGTGAAAATTGCTTTGTCTATATTCACAGTTTTATTGTGAGATGAAGTCGTTGAGATGGTGTATTTAAAAATCACTGTAAGAACTGTAAATGCTTCTCTGTGTAAAACTGAATACAACTTACACATCAATCCATCTTAGTGGTGTACTGCATATTTTGGAGCACATTGAACTGCAAGCTACAAAACAAATGGATCTTCATATATTGACACGTGAGTGACTAAGTATAAAACAAATTTAGCAATATTTTATATTGCATACTTCTTTCTTTAAAGAAGCTATATGTATGGAGTAGTATATATGCAGAAATAATCTGTGCATAAGAAATATAATATCGGCTGCAAGTCAATAACTTTTAATACACATCTTCATTCATATATATGTGTGGGTGTGTCTATGTATATATACACACATATATATACATATATACATATATACACACATATATATACAGATATACACATATATATACATATATACATATATATACACATATATATGTGTGTGTGTGTGTGTGTGTGTGTGTGTATATATATATTTTTTTTTTTTTTTTGAGACGAAGTCTCACTCTGTTGCCCAGGCTGGAGTGCAGTCGCGTGATCTCGGCTCACTGCAAGCTCTGCCTCCTGGGTTCATGGTATTCTCCTTTCTCAATCTCCCTAGCAGCTGGCCCACGCCACGACGCTGGCTGATTTTTTGTATTGTTAGTAGAGACGGGGTTTCACCGCGTTAGCCAGGATAGTCTCGCTGTCCTGACCTCGTGATCCACCCCCTCTCGGCCTCCCAAAGTGCTGGGATTACAGGCGTAAGCCACCGCTACCGGCCATCTTCTTGTACATTTTTAAATGTATGTTAAACACAAGAAAACATTGACTAAATAGTTTAACAACAGGAATGGTGGTTTAAGAAAAATTTCTTTTTCAAATATATATTTATGGCCAGGCGCTGTGGCTCATGCCTATAATCCCAGCACTTTGGGAGGCCGAGGCGTGCGGATCACGAGGTCAGGAGATCGAGACCATCCTGGCTAATACGGTGAAACCCTGTCTCTACTAAAGATACAAAAAATTAGCCGGGAGTGGTGACGGGCGCCTGTAGTCCCGGCTACTCGGGAAGCTGAGGCAGGAGAATGGCGTGAACCCAGGAGGCAGAGTTTGCAGTGAGCCGAGATCGCGCCGCTGCACTCCAGCCTGGGCAACAGAGTGAGACTCTGTCTCAAAAAAAAAAAAAAAAAAAAAAAAAAAAAAAAAAAAAAATATATATATATATATATATATATATATATATATAATTTATATTTATGTATATATTTTCACATATATATTTTTCACACATATATATTTTTCACATATATATTTTTACACATATATATATTTTTCACACATTTTCACACATATATTTTTTCACATATATGTGGATATATACACAGACATATGTGTGTATATATGTATATATGTATGTATATATACATATGTGTATGTATGTACATATATTCATTCATATATATATGATGTCAATGCAATTGTTACATAAATTAACAAAAAAGATGTTTTCAAGCAGAAAACTCTGCTGTCTACATAGAGCCCCCAAGACAAATAAATATCTGTCCTCTTAAGCAGTGAGTTCAGCTAGAAACTACAGCAATGTGCTAGAAAATATACTCAGAGAAAAAATAAACAAATATAAAAAATTAACATTTACCAATTAAAAATCTGTAAGGAATGCTGCTAATTATATTCTTAACCCTCAGTTTTCTCTTGAAATAAACTAAATTGTATGTTATTATTTGTTAATTTACTTATATTACCTCCCTCCCTGATTTTGAGTTCTGTGTAAGATTTGAACATTGCTAGTCACTTTGTTAGACTGATGTGAACATTTAGAAGTAATAAAGTGCAATCAAAGGTTCTCTTCTCACATTATGATTTTTAAAGCTATACCTCTCTTAGAATTTAACTAAAATAACATTAAGTAACTTCAATGTTTGGATTTAGAAGATCTTTTTAATGAATACACTTTAAATATAAAGTTTTGTAGCATTAAAGTTCACTTGTTACTCTAAAGTTTCAATATTTTTTTCACATATGATTAAATAAAACTCACTGTGGCAAGTTACCAAAACTAAATATAGGGGAGCATTTAAGAAATACATATTTTTTAAAAAATTTATATTCTCTGACTTAAATTGTTTTAATTATATACCTGATGGCTACAGAATGTTAAACTTGATCAAAACAAAAAACCCGTGAGTTAATTTTTTCTAAATGAAAAAATAGAATTTTAAACAAAACTATTATTAGTGAGCAAAAGCAGCTTTATAATTTAAAATACCCACTAGTTATTGCTTTGTCTATGTAATGTATTTCAGTCAGTCTACTATCTTTTTGAGGTTTTTTTAGACAGCCAATAACTCGTGGTACAAGCAGCTGAAAACCAGCATTGATCGTAGCGTGTGAGCTATGCTAGAACCACCTGCTCTGCTGGCAGTTCTTTACTTCTTATATATTGCAAGTAAATTTTTGATGCAGGGAAAATGAAAACATTAATTAATTTCTAGTGAGTTAGAAAAAGTTATCACATTTATTAGTAGAAAACATAGGTTAAGAAAATATGTTTTTTTCAAAGAAAATACATTTAAAGTTTATTTGACAAAATTAAACATCTCATTATATCTTGAAACAATTTTGAATTTTCTTACAGAAGCCAATCCTAAAAAAAGTGACCATAATCAATAAACGTAATTAGTTTCCCAAGTTAGATTTTTTAAAATTTCTGAAATCTGACTTTATCCAAAAGAAAAATAACATTCTAAATTAATCTTCTCTGTTAACTATATATTAATTGAAATAAATTTATTTCCAATAAAAAGAAAATGAATTTAAATTATATTATTTTTCTTGAATTATGAAACATATAAAGAAACTCATCAAAAATATGATATAAAAAAACTAAAGTTTTCAAGAGGGATTTTTTCTCAATTAGAAATTCAATGAAGGGACTAGCATGGTGGCTCACACTTGTAATTCCAGCGCATTTGAAGGCCAAGAAAGGTCAGAAGCTTCAGACAAGCTTGGCCAATATGGTGATAGGCCCTATCAGCTGCGGTGGTGCACTCCTGCAATCTCAGGTATCAAGATGCGATGCAGAATAATGACTTGAACCTGGGAACCAGGGGATTTCAGTGTGCCAAGACTGCACCACTGCACTCCAGCCGAAGGGACAGTGTGAGATTCCATTCTAAAAATAAAAGAAAAGAAATTCAATTAACTAAGTTTGTGACAACTCTGACTTGTAGTAACAAAATGTCTTAAATTATGTGTGACACACATTTCAAAGTTACTCCAACATCACCTGTACAAAAAGAAAGCCTTTTTATTTTTAGTTAATTTATTTAATTTTGCTTTTTATAATTTTATTTATTATTGTTCCAGGGTACATATGCAGGACATGCTGGTTTATTTCATAGATAAACATGTCCATGATTGTTCGCTGCACCTATTAATCCATCATTTAGGTATTCAGCCCCACATTAATTAGCTATTTGTCCTGAAGCTCTTTTTTTATCCTGCCCCATGACATAACCAGATATGTGGCATTCCCCTCCCTGTGTCTATGTGTCTTCAAACTTCAGACCCTCATAAGAAGGTGGAAATGCAGTCTTTGTTTTTTTGTTTCTGTGTTAGTTTGCTGAAAATGATGGCTTCCAGCTTCATTCATCTCCCTGCACAGGACATGATCTCCTTCCTTTTTATGGCTGCATATAATTTCATGATGTATATGTGTCACACTTTCTTTATCCATTCTGTCATTGATGGGCATTTGAATAAATTCCATGTCTTTGCTACAGTAAAGCAATAACCGTACACATGCATGTAGTCTTAAAATAGAATGACTTTTTTGTGTGTGTGAGTGCTACATACCCAGTAATGAAATTGCTGAGTCCAGTGGTATTTCTGGTTCTAGACACTTGGTGAATTATCACACACTTTTCCACAATGTCTGTACTGATTTACACTGTAAACAACAGTGTAAAAGCATTCCTATTACTGCACTGCTTTACTACCATCTATTGTTTCTCGGGTTTTTAGTAATCATCATTTTGACTGGCCTCAGATGATACCTCATCGCAGTTTTGATTTGCATTTCCCTAGTAATTAGTAAAAGTAAGAGAAAAATGAGATCTCACATAAAATTTCTGCAAAATTTCATCTTTTTTTGAGATGGGTTTTGTTCTTGTCATCCAGGCTGAAGTGCAGTGGGGCAATTTTAGCTCACTCTAACCTCCGTCTTCTGGGTTCAAGCAATTCTCCTGCCTCAGCCTCCCAAGTAGCTGGGATTACAGGTGCCAGCTAAGTTTTTTTTATTTTTATGTATATTTTTGTATTTTTAGTAGAGATGGGGTTCAACAATGTTGGCCAGACTGGTTTGAAACTCCTGATCTGAAGTGATCCTCCTGCCTCGATCTCTGAAAGTGCTGGAATTACAGGTGTGAGCCACCATGAGAAGCCATTGAAAAAATTTTTAAAGTGTTTTTTTTTTTAATTTCTTCTTCAGAACTCTGTAGAATTGTAACTGTCAACAGTTCTGCTTCCACAAGACACAAACGTATTTGAGTATTTCAACCACAGAAAAAGGATGTCACTATTACACTTAGTGGAAAAGGCCAGAAAGGCTGCTCAGGCTTCCCAGGCTGCTAATCATCCTACAATGCACAGCAAAAGCTTCTCCCCCACAAAATTATATGAGTACAAAATGCCAAAGTCCAGGTATCAGAAATTCTGTCTCCTCAAGAAGCTTCATAATCTCCTAGAAAGATGCTAACTTGAAGCCCAATGCCATATAGTTCAGAAACATATTCTCACATTATATATTTCTGTGTAAGAGGGATCAGGTGGTTCAATGCTAATGCCAACTTTCAAATTTGATTTTTTAAAAATTTTGAAATGTAATAATAATTTCCTAATAAGGTTAAAACTACCAAAATGTAGTTCACAGAATTATCTGTATTTCAAGATCCAAGAGAAGTAAGGCACAACTAGCTATGCTTCTTTTATCATGGAATTTTTGGGGAGTCATTTTGCCAGATGAAATCCTTTATGGCCAATGGTGCTTGTGCCTGAGTTTTGCTCAGACCTGCTAAGCTTGTTCTACCCAGTCTGCCTGACGGGCTGCACTCAGCTTCCATTATGGGCCAAGATTTAACACCAGCCAAGGGCAAGCATGAGTGTGTGGTGAGTGGTGTATGAGCAAGCATGGGCTCCAGCCACAAAACACAGCCAGGCTTGCCAGGTGTGAGAGGGCAGAAAGTGTTAGGTGCCAACAAAAGTACCAGTGAAAGGAGAAGCTGCAGCTGGAACAGGAATACTGTAAGCAGCTTCCACAGCTGATACTGGGAAATGTAGTGGTGCCCAGAAGCATGGAGATTCCAGAAACTGCAAAGTCCCAAAGAAGGTGTCACAGCCAGCCCTTAGGTCTGAAAGGTCACCGTTCTCCTCTTATCTTTGTCTTCCACAATGTGATGAGCAAGGGGCAAGTTTTATCCCTGTTTGTGTTGCAGGTCATTCAGCCCTGGCATTCAACAGAACTAAAGCTGTTGTTCTGCATCAAGAAAGAAAGAGGTACATGCTGCCTTCAGCCTTTCCATTTCTGTCTGAAGATATAAAGCCTGAGCTAGCTGAGGCAACAGTGATGGCCTCCCCTGAGTCAGTTGCCGGGCACTATAATGTTGATTCTCCTCAGAATCCACCCTGACACCTCTGTTTACTTCTAGACCTATAACTAGACTCAAGTTCTGCAGGGGTCTGTCCCACAGACCCTGACCCAACAACAGATGAATAAAGTACACTGATGCATGATATTCTGCTTTGCCAGTTCGACTGAGCATCTGGGCCACTTACAGACTCCATGCAGAGTGCTGTAAACAGTTGTGACCAGGGGCTGTAAACAGTCCTGACCAGCTAATGAGACTGGTACTTATTCAGTAAAGACTAATTGACAAAGCTCATGAGTAAACACCACTAGAGGGTAATTGACATCGTGGAGTTTCTGAGTAGAAAGCAATTAAGCACCTGCAGTATTAGATCAAAGGTTAGTCTTAGGACCACACCAGTAAAGAAGCTAGTTAGGTAAACTACTCTATCTTCCATTGTACCCACTTTAAGCTATTTACACAAGGTATGGATTAGGTTGCCTTCAGTCATAACCTTATCCTCAGACTTTTACAAATATATTTAGGCTTTCCAAGAAGGTTTGTGGCTTATAATTGTCCCCACCATCTTGATCAATCTGCTACCTCTCCCACTTTTTTGTTTTCTGCATCAGGTTTTCTTAATTGGAGAGCATAGGTATGTCAGCAACCAGTCTGTCAGGTGTGGCAGTCCTGGCAGTCATTACTCTTATTCTAACTTTGCATCTTAGAATTAGCAAACAATAAAAAACAATCATGAGTACAATTAGCAGCATTCTTTTCCAGTCAAAGTGTGACCCCCAGGAGTGGGGGTCTAACTAGGAGAAATGATCTTGCACACCCTTCCTTGTGGCTGTTTGTTGTGTGTGTAGGTCTATGGTGTGAAGGGATTCTAAAATGTTAGTTTTAAGTTGGCTTAAAACTGCTGTTAAATTGTCATGAAAAGTTCCCCAGAGATGCTGTTCTACCTCATCTCAGCAATGTATAGATTAAGTCCATGGTAGAGAAGTGACATAGAGATGTTTATGTTCCCTTAATTGCTTTCAGAATGCCAGTAGATCTTGTCGTTCCCCTGCATATTTTAAAGTAGCCTTGAGGGCTCGCAGACATGCAAGGATTTTTTTTATCTATATCTTGCTGAAAGAGAATTCATTAGACACATTTTTGGCCAGATTATCTACAAAGGCAGCTATTTTTACTGACTCAGTAATAGATGCAACAGCAATGCTAGCAGTTGCCAGGATAACTACGGCTGAGAATATAAAGGCCATAAGTGTAACTGTAAACATTTTGTGTCTGTCCTGGGACAGAGCATATTCTAAGGTGGAAATGGCAGAGGAACTTTGCCAATTGCATGTCAGATTGACTGGTAGGAATGCCTCAGATTGTCTCCTTAATACCATGACACTAGTAATTATTGGGGAACCTGCCCCAGTATTCATGTAGGTTCTTTTCTATTTTCCTTAAGTGTCAGCTGGCTTGATAAATAAAGGGACAGAGTACAAAAAAGAGAAATTTTAAAGCTGGGCATCTGGGGGAGACAACACATGTCGGTAGGTTCTGTGATGTCCCACAAGCCACAGAAACCAGCAAGTTTTTATGAGGGATTTTCAAAAGGGGAGGAAGTGTGCGAATAGGTGTGGGTCACAGACATCAAGTACTTTACAAGGTAATAGAATATCACAAGGCAAATGGAGGCAGGGCAAGATCACAGGACCACAGGACCAGGGTGAAATTAAAATTGTTAATAAAGTTTCGGGCACCATTGTCATTGACAGCAATTTATCAGGAGACAGGGTTTTGAGAGCAAATGGTCTGACCAAAAATTTATTAAGTGGTAATTTCCTCTTCCTAATAAGCCTGGGAGTGCTATGGGAGACTGGGGTCTATTTCACCCCTACAGCCTTGACCATAAGAGACAGGAGCACCTAAGGGGGCCATTTATAGGCCTATACCTCCAGGTGCATATTCTCTTTCCCAGGGATGTTCCTTGCTGAGAAAAAGAATTCAGCAATATTTTTCCCATTTGCTTTTGAAAGAAGAGAAATATGGCTCTGTTCTGCCTGGCTCACTGGTGGTCAGAGTTTAAGGTTATCTCTCTTATTCCCTGAACAATTGCTGTTATCCTGTTCTTTCTTCAGGATGGCCAGATTTCATATTGTTCAAACACACATGCTCACAATTTTTGCAGTTGAGGCAATTATCACATGGTCCTGAGGCGACATATACCCTCATCAGCTGACAGGATTAAGAGATTAAAGTAAAGACAGGCATAGGAAATCACAAGGGTATTGATCAAGGAAGTGATAACTGTCCATGAAATCTTTGGAATTTATGTTTATGTTTAGAGATTGCAGTAAAGACAGGCATAAGAAATTATAAAAGTATTAATTTGGGGAAGTAATAAATGTCCATGAAATCTTCACAATCCATGTTCTTCTGCCATGGCTTCAGCAGATCCCTCCATTTGGGGTCCCTGACTTCCCACAACAAGTAATTTTGAAATTAGATATATTGTGATTGGTGATCATAATATATCTAATCAGTGTGATTATGAACAAAGGCAGTAATCAGTGTAATTATGAACAAAGGTTATAGTATAGTTGCAACTGGAATTATTATAATTATTATTATTATGAGATGTAGTCTCGCTCTGTTGCCCAGGCTGGAGTGCAGTGGCATGATCTTAGCTC
This sequence comes from Homo sapiens, assembly GCF_000001405.40. Lineage (NCBI taxonomy): Eukaryota > Metazoa > Chordata > Mammalia > Primates > Hominidae > Homo > Homo sapiens. The sequence continues at coordinate 9,210,441 of NC_000024.10, forward strand.
ACTGTAAGCTCTGCCTGCCAGGTTCACGCCATTCTCCTGCCTCAGCCTCCCAAGTATCTGGGACTAAAGGCACCTGCCAACATGCCTGGCTAATTTTTTTGTATTGTTAGTAGAGACGTGATTTCACCATGTTAACCAGGGTTGTCTCAATCTCCTGACCTCATGATCCACCCTCCTTGGCCTCCCAAAGTGCTGGGATTACAAGCATGAGCCACTGCACCTGGTTGCGACTGGAATTATGATAGGTACCATGCCAAGTGTTAAGGGAGGTGCTGAGATGTACCAGGCACCATAAGGTGACTTGGGGTGTCATGGACTTTACTTGGGGTCTGGAATATTCCATCCCCCCATTGGCCCAAATTATAGGGGAAAGATATATGGTTATGAAACTATGATTGTTGCTATGATGGAAGAAGACATTAGTAAGACTGCCCTGCAATAGGCGGTGGGGGCTCAAGTCTAGGATGTTATAATTGCCTAACCAGAAGCTATGGGCTTGTTTCCTGTGACAGACCTCCCAGCTAAAGTGGAATCCATTACTTTCCTGGCTTTTTTCTTTAGTACAGGAAGGAATGTTTGGGAAAGTGGCATTGATTGCATTGCCTGGATTAAGGCTTCCTGCAGCTAAGAATGTTAAGGCATTTCTTTTGCCATGATGTAGCCATACTTGTATTTGGGCAGGTACACAGTAAGTGTTAGGGCCTTTATAACTTACACACAGTGGGAGGATAGTGGAGTGATATGTAGTATTATTTGGCACCTTAGTCCAATGTGTGCCATTATTGAGGGGTGCCATGGGGGTAAATCTATCCCTCCTAGTGAAGGAGTCATGTTATTATAGGCTGTAAACGAAGTGTCTGCCCAGGTGAAAAAAAGGCTGGTTTAAGATATAAGCTCAATAAATTTAGTAGGTGCAGTTTGCAGACAAAGCGAGAGCATGAAAAGGATTAATATCCTACATGAGTTGCAATGAAAAACAGAACGCATGGCAAGAAACAAATTTTCTGGAGTAAATAGTGTCTATGTCTGGAGGAGGATTTGTTCAGCCACCTGAGTTGTCCTCTTCAGCATCCCCCAGGTAATGTCTGGCACTTGTGTCATTCATGTTAACTTCATCATCCGGGGCTGTGGATCTTTCAGGATTCACTCATTTATTCCTGATACTGGGTTGGGTCCTAGTCATGCCATGGTATGGTTTGATGTGTCATGCTGAAATCCAAAGAGGACCTGAGGGGGTGTGGACACAAGCATACCTTCTTCCCCAGGTTAATAATTCCCTAGGACTGCACCATTCATTACTGTTTACATCTTTCCATAAAACTGTAGGTTTTATGCCAATAGCATTGAAGGGTCTTTACCCATACTCCCCCCACCCTTTTATTTGATCGTATTTTTAAGGGAGGAGTGGGCATGTTTTACTATTTCTTGTCTTTGGGGTTATATGGAATGCCTGCCGGTGGAATACTGGATGCTCCATGTGTGACAAAATTGTTGAAATTGTGAGCTGACATAAGCTGGAGATTATCAGTGTTAATTTTTGTGGGTCAGCCCATAAATGCAAAAGTGAAAAGAATATGTTTAATGACATATTGAGTTGACTCTCCAGGCAGAGCATGTGCACTAATTAAATGCGTGTTGGTCTCAATGGATACATGTACATATCTTAGTTTTCCAGATTCAGGGATGTATGTATCATCTGTTTGCCATAACTGATTAGGCTCTAGTCCTCCAGGGTTAACACTTGTTGAAGTAGGAAATGTGCCTATGAGGTGGCAATCTGTGCATTGTAGGATAATTTTTTTTACCACTCTGTGAGTAAGTGGAAATTATTTAGATAAGTTTCTCCAATTTTGGTGGCAAAATTGATGCAATTGGGTGGCTTGGTTAAGCAGTAATGTCATAACATGAAAGTCTGCTTCATTATTGCCATAAGTCAATGGGCCAGGCAGTGAGCTGTGGACTCGAAGGTTTGTAATAAAAATAGGATATGTATGTTGATCAAGCAATTGCTAAAGTCAAAGAAAAAGAGCACACAGGTCTGGGCCCAGAGTGGACTTAATTAAGGTCTCTCAAGGTTTTGTAGTAAATAGAGTATGCACAGTCACGTACACTACTTATGGCCTGAGTGCAAAAAGTTTCCAAGGCCAGTAGCAGAGCCCCAATCTAAGCTCTCTGAGTGCTAGCAAACCCAGATCAAGTGATTGAATTGTGTGGTCTCCACCATACTGCTGCTTTTCCATGTTTACCAGACCCATCTGTAAACAGTGTTAAAGCATGAGGTATGGGGATTGACCTCTTTCTGTGGGCAAAATTACCAGCATATGAGATAATAAATGAAGGAGTTGATCAGAAGGATGGATGTGCTCTATTTGTCCTGTGTAATCAGAGAAAGCTATTTGCAGATCTATCAATAATGGCAATACTGCTTCAAATTGCTTTTTAGTTAAAAGAATCCTGATGACATCAGGATCAGAACCTAGCCACTTATTACATCATTTGCAGCCTGAATAGATGACTTTAGTAATTAACTAAATATAGGGAGATAGTGTTTTAGTCCCATTATATGAGCAAAAAATCCATTCTAGGAAGAATAGCCCAGGGACCATTTGTCCTATTAACCCTTTAGGGGAGTGTTTGCTGGGAAAGATAAACAGCATGTACCATAAAGCCTGGGACTATGTGATCTAGCTGCCTCTGAGAGATGGCGAGTTCTATTTCCTTGATTTCTCTTTTTGATGTAGTTCTAGTTCTAGTTCCTTGATTTCCCTTTTTGCTGCAGAGGTTAAATATCTGGGATAATCTAGGGCTGGATTGCCCTTTAAGATAGAATATAGGTTTTGTAGTTTATCAGTAGAAATCTTCAAAGTGGGGTGGTGCAAATTAATGTCTCTCAGAAATTTTTGATAATCATTTAAGATGTGTAACTTGCTAGTATTTAATTTAATGTTTTGAGATCTTACTGACAGGGAAGTTAGTATGTACCCAGGATATTTCCAAGGAGAAGACATCTGTCCTTTCTCAGGTGGAACGATTAAATCTCTTAGCTGTGTATGCTTTATGACAGAGTAATATAAATTTAAAAATATTGGCTCCATTGGGGCTGCAAGTAGAATATCATCCATAAAAATATTAATCTTGCAATCAGAAAACTCTCTTCTACCAGGGAGCAAAGCTTGATTTACATGATACTGACACAAGGTAGGACAGTTTAGCATTCCTTGGGGAAGCACTTTCCAGTGAAATCAACAAGCTGGCTTTTCATTATTGATAGCTGATATGGTAAACACAATTTTTTCTCTGTCCTGGAGAAATTGTATGAGAATAATCTTTTCAGTCAATAATGATTACAGGCAAATTTTGAGGAATCAAAGTGGAGGAAGGGGGGCCCTGTTGAAGGGGCCCAATAGGCTGTAAATTAGCATTAATAGCATGTAAGTCATGCAAAATTCTCTATTTCCCAGACTTTTTGGGAATGACGAAAATGGGTGAATTCCAGGGGCTGTGAGAGATTTGATATGCCCAGCCTTCGATTTCTCTTCAACTAATTCATGAGCCTTCTGTCATTTGTCTCACTTCAGAGGCCACTATTCTTCCCAAATCGGATCTTGAGAGACACATGTCAGGGGTAGAGGAGGAATAACAACAGTGGCCATTGTCATAAAGGGGTATGCAGAGTGATCTCCTCACACACACTGGGCTAATAGGTCCTGCCCCAAAAGATTAACAGGATGGGCATGATTAGAGGTTGTATAACTGTTGTTCTTACTTCAGAATCGCAGCATGTTATGGGAAGCATGCTCTGCTTGGCTGTGTGCACTTTGTAGATGCAGAAATTTTCTGTTTTTGAGTGATCCAAGGCCAAGTTTCTGGCCAGTTCTGATCACTAATGATTAAAATGTTCACTCCTGTGCCCAATAAGCCAGTAAAATTCTTATGTCCAATTTTTAAAAGTAATCATGGGTCTCTGATCAGTGATTAATTGATTCCAATACACTCTCATGGCTCCTGTGCATCCAAAGCATCCCTTTCGCTTTTCCTTTCCATGGGCATTGAGGACCCAGTATGGTAAAATCAGTAACTGAGCTATCTTTGATCCAGGGGGAGGAATATGCAGACCTTTACATTCCATCATAACCAATATCTCACCCTGATAATCACTATCAGTTACCCCATTGGGCACATTAATTCCTTGACTGGGTAGGCTAGACTGCCCTAGGACTAACCCCACTGTTCCCAGAGGCACCGGGCCCCAGATCCCAATTGCAAAACTTTTAGAGTCTTCTTCTTTTAGCACTAATTCACTGGGGCAGAGTAAGTCCAGTCCTGTGCTCCCAGTTGTGGCTGCTCTGAAAGAGAAGACTATGGGCTTCCCATTTGACCAAGGAAAGCTTCTGGCATTGCCCCAGTTGGGAGTGGTGCCTGGAGCTGATCCCTCATGAAGTTTCTGAATGGTTTCTTATGGAGTTGCTGTTTTTATCAAATTTAGACCTGCATTGATCTGCCCAATACTTCCCCTTCCTACTTCGGGGACATAAAGAGGTGGATTCTCTCCCTTAGTTACCTTGATCTTTACTATGGGGACATTCCCTTGACATATGGCCTGACTCTCCTCATAAACACAATTTTGATCTCTCTCCCTTTTCACTTTAGGAGGCCTTAATGCCATAGCCAATATTTTGGCTTTGTGTATCTCAGTTCCTACCAGCTGAAATGCTGGTATTAGCTCCCCAACAGTGGTGGCCTTTCCTCTGATTGCCTGCATTGCCTGCTGGCGATCCACATTAGCATTTTCAAAAACCAGTTGCAATGATAAGATATCAGTGGCCTGGGCATGACTAATTTGTCTCTTAATTGCCTGGGTTAACTGATTGATAAACTCAACAAATGGCTCCTGAGGCCCTTGTCAAACATTTACAAAAGATCCCTGCTGAATTCTGCTTTCAGGAATTTGGTCCCAAGCCCTGAGAGCACACAGAGGGACATCAGCATAAGCCTGGAGATCAAAATTTAGTTTTTATTGCACATCGGCATGAGGACCCCTTCCCTGGAGCATATCAGCTGTTATATTTTGCCTGGCCACCTGATTCACCAGGAGAGGCAATACGGCAAGTAACGTTTTCTCCTTCTTCCCCTTTTTAGGCTCTTCTGTGTATAATGAGACTAAAGCCATCCTTACAGGGGCCCATAGTGTTAAAGATGATACTGGGACCCATTGCCCTTGTGCATCATGCTGTTTAAGATTTCTCCCCACCTGTTACCAGAGTTCTACCTCTAGCATTCCTTCTTCTGGGAACCATGGATTATGTGAGACAGTAGTTTGCATTAGTTTTCTTAAGTGAGTCCATGAAGCTGATGCTCTGGTAGCATTAAGCAACTATTTCAACATTTTATATACTGTTTCTGTAGAGCTGGTAACTATTGTCCCATGATGAAACCTCAGCCTGACCAATCCCCTCCGAACTTGGAAATCCCAAGTGGACACCAATGACTTCCTGTTTTACTGACTTAACCACACTGTCTTCTTCAACCTTTGTTTTCAGGGGGTCCATTGCACCTCCTTTGCCATGTTCTTCACATGGGGGTGCTGGCTGTGGGGGTCTGTCTTGCAGACCCTGACTCAGTGATGGATGAATAAAGTACACTGACACACAGATATTCTGCTTTGTCAGTTCAACTAAGCATCTGGGCCACTTAGAGTATCCACACAGAATGCACTAAACAGTTGCAACTGCAGCCTCAAACAGCCAGCAAGACTTTCATCTGTACAGTAAAGATTAATTGACAAAGGTCTGAGTAAACACCACTAGAGGGTAATTGACATTGCAGACTTCCCAAGTAGAAAGGAATTAAGCACCTGCAGTAGATCAAAAGTTAGTCTTCTTACCACATGAGTAAAGAAGCCAGTTAGATAAACTACCCTACCTTCCTTTGTATGCACTTTAACCTATCTACTCAAGGTAAGGATTAGTTTGCCTTCAGCCATAACCTTATCCTGAGACTTTTACAAAATCCTTCAGGCTTTGCAAGAAGGTTTGTGACTTATAATTTTCCCCACCATCCTGACTGAACCCCTACAAAGTTCTGGTGGGCTCCTAGAGGTGAGATTGAGAATGTGACCTCTGAGGAGGTGTGGTACACATGAAAAGAACTGTTTGAGTTTTCAAATGTATATAAATAGTCTGGGAACAGGCATGGGAACAGATAGTATAGGTATGAGAAAATAGTGGAAAAAAAACCAGAATTGTGTCAGGCTGAATTTATTGATCAGGGCTCACTAAGTAGGCTCTCTGCATTTAAAGCTGCAGCTCAAGGAGTTTAAAACAAGTTCTAATAATTTATTTGCTTGATTAAATGAAATATAAATAAAAAGATGGCCTACTGTGAGTGGGCTATAAATGTCTGCTCTTTATTGGTTTAATGTAAAGGAAGACATCCAAAGGCCTAGGGAGATTTGGATGGTGGAGTGGATTTGTCACTTTAGACATACTCACCCCAGTTGGGAGGGTTCAAAAGATACACCCTTGATCAGTCCCTTGTGAAATAGACTTGTGAGATCAGAGCCTGCATCTTTGAAGAGGCCTGTAATTTTTCTTCTCTGTATGTCAGATCTAAGGGTGGAAACTACAGTAACTAAACTACCAAATTTAAACACAATGGGAATAATTGTATCCTGATGTGGAAAGGGAAATGACCAGACTTTTCAGGGACTGCTGGACACAGTCTATGAGTTGATGTTGATTCCAGGGGACAAAAAACATCACTGTGGTCCTTCAGTTAAAGTAGGACCTTATGAAGGTCAGGTAATTAATAAAGTTTTAGCTTCAGTCAGACTTAGAAGGGGTTCAATGGGTCCCTAGACTCATTCTGTGGTCCTTTTCCCAGTGCCAGAATGCATAATTGGCATAGGCATAATTGGCATAGACATACTTAGCAGCTGGCAGAATCCACCATTTGCTCCCTGACTTGTAGGGTAGAGCTAGTATAATGGGAAAGGTCAAATGGAGGCCAGTAGAGCTGCCTATGCCTAGAAAAATAGTAAATCAAAAACAATATCAATTTTTTGGAGAGATTGTGAAGGTTAGTGACACCATCAAGGACTTGAAAGGCATAGGAGTGGTAATTAGCAACACATCCTCTTACAACTCTCCCATTTGTCTGATGCAGAAGACAGATGGATTTTGGAGAATAATAGCAGATTACCGTAAGCTTAACTGCATGGTGACTCCAATTGTACCTGCTGTACCAGATGTGGTTTTATTGTTTGAGCAAATTAATACATCTCCTGGTACTTGGTATGCAATAATTCACTTGGGGAAAATACCTTTTTCTTCATTCCTGTCCATAAGGCTCACGTGAAGCAATTTGCCTTCAGCTGGCAAGGCCAGTAATATGCCTTTATTGTCCTACCACAGGGGTATATCAACTCTCTCTCTCTGTGTCATAATCTTATTTAAAGAGCTCTTGACTGCTTTTGGCTTCTGCAAGATAGCACACTGGTCCATTACATTGATGACTTTATGCAGATTTTACCCAGTGAACAAGAAGTAGCAAACACACTGGACTTATTTATGAGACATTTTTGTACCAGAGAATGGGAAATAAATCTGACTAAATTTCAGGGACACTTTATCTCAGTAAAATTTCTAGGTGTTATAAGGTAAATAACAAGTTGCTACATTAGGCACCTCCTACAACCAAGAAAGAGGCAAAATGTCTAGGGAACCTATTTGGATATTGGAGGCAACACATTTCTCATTCAAGTATCTTACTCTGGCCCATTTATTTAGTGACCTGAAAGCCTGCCAGTATTGAGTAGTGTCCAGAACAGGAGGAAGATCTGCTGCAGTTCTAGGATGCCATGCCAGCTTCTCTGCCACTTGGGCCATATGACCCAGCAGATCTAATGGTGCTTAAGGCATCATTGGTAGATAAGGTTGCTGTCTGGAGGCCTTGCCAGGCTCCCACAGGTGAATCACAGGATTGGTCTCAAGTGTTTTGAAGAAAAGCTCCATCATGTTCTGCAAATAACTGTTCTCCTTTTGAGAGACAGCTCTTGGCCTGTTACTGGACTTTGTTGGAAACTGAACGTTTGACTATGGGTCATCAAGTCACCATATGAACTAAATGGCCTATCATGAAGTGCTTGATTTCTTAACCATCTAGCCACAAAATGGGTTGTGCACAGCAGCATTTCATCACCAAATGGAAGTGGCATATATGTGACCATGCTTGAACAGGTCCTGAAAGAACAAGTAAGTTATATAAGGAAGTGGATCAAAAGTCCATGTCTCCACTCCTGCCACCCTGCCTTTTCTCCTTCAACTTGCAATCATGGTCTCAAGAGGATTTCCCTATGATCAACTGACAAAATGAGAGAAGACTATGGCCAGGTTCCATTTGGTTCTGCACAATATGCAGCCACCGCCTGAAATTAGACAGCTGCAGCACTACAGCTCCTTTTTAGGATGTTCCTAAAAGACAGTGGTAAAGGGAAATCTTCCCAATGGGCAGAACTTCAAACAGATGTATGATTATATACTGATTCTTTAGCTATAGCAAATGGTTTGGCTGGATGATCAGGAACTTGGAAGAACCATGATTAGAAAATTGGTGACAAAGCAATTTTGGGAAAAGGTATGTGCAGGGGCCTCTCTGAGTGGTCAGAAACTGAGGATATTTATGTTTCACGTGAGTGCTCACCAGCAGGTTACCTCAGCAGAGAAGGAATTTAATTATCAAATGGATAGAATGACCTGTTCTGTGGACACCACTCAGACTCTGTCCCAAGCCACTCCTGTCATCACCCAATGGGCCCATAAACAAAGCGTCTATGATGGCAGGGATGGAAGTTATGCATGGGCTCTGCAAAATGGACTTTTATTTACCAAGGGTGACTTGGGTATGGACACTGATGAATTCCCCATTTGCCAGCAATGGAGACAAACACTGAGCCCTCAATATGGTGCCATTTTTGTAGGGTAATCAGCCAGCTACCTGATGGCATGTTGATTACATTTGACCTCTTCCATTATGGAAAGGGAAGAGGTTAGTACTCAAAGTAATATACACTTATTCTGGATATGGGTTTTCCTATCCTGCATGCAATGTTTCTGCCAAGACTACCATCTGTGGACTCATAAAATGCCTTATCCACCATCATGTTATTCCACAAAACATTGGCTCTGACCAAGGCACCCACTTTATGACTAAAGAATTGTGGCAGTAGGCTTCTGATTATGGAATTCACTGGTCTCACCATGTTTCTCATCATCCTGAATGGGATCCATTGAATGATTCCATTAAACTGGAAGTTAAGATTGCCCCCTTAGCATTTTGGGATCCTCCTACTTTTCAGCTATCATGCTAAGAAAGGAGTTACAGTTTTGGCTGTGGTGATTGACCTGAACTATCAAGATAAAATCAGTCTACTACTCTACAGTGGAGGCAAGGAAGAGTAAGCATGTAATATAGGAAATCCATCAGGGTGCCTGTTAATATTAACATGCCCTGTGATTAAGGTCAGTGGATAACTACAGCAGCCTAATCATGACAGGAATACAAATGGTCCAGACTCTTCGGGAATTAAGGTTTGGGTCACTCCACCAGGAAAAAAAAGAAAAGAAAAAAGAACAAACAACACCTGCTTAGGTGCTTGCTGAAGGCAAAAGAAACACAGAAAAGTTGGTAGAATAAGGTGGTCATCAATACCAGCTATGACCACATGACCAGCTGCAGAAATGAGGACTTTAATTGCCCTAAGTAGTTCCTCCTTTTGTTAAAAAAATGTTTGTGCCTGTATACACATGTACAAATACCTTTATTTTTCATTTTCTTTATCATTTGACATAAGATTCATTGGCCTCACATTAGTACTGAAGTATTCTTAACTTTACATAATAGTATTTGGGTTGAGGATTGGGATGCTCCTGGTTGTACAAAGGATAGTTGTATTATGTTAGGTGTAATTATGACCTCATTACTGTCTTTATTTGAAGATTATGTATGATCTTAGGAGATGTGTATGGGTTCAACTTGACAAGAAGTGGAGTTGTGATAGTTAAAACTGAGTGTTGACTTCATTGGATTGGGGGATACAGAGTACTAATCCAGGGTGTGTTTATTGGGTGTTTCCCCCAAAAAACTAACATTTGAGTAAGTGGGCTGAATAAGGCAGATCTACCTTAATCTACTGGGCACAATATAATCAGCTTATAGTGAATATAAAGCAGGCAGAAAAATGTGAAAAGGAGAAATAGGCCTAGCTCCAAGCCCACATCATTCTCCCATGCTGGATGCTTCCTCCCCTTTTACATTGAGGTCCAAGTTCATCAGTTTTGGGACTCAAACTGGCCCTCTTCACTGCTCAGCTTGTAGGCAGCTTTTTGTGCTCGTGTAAGAGTTAATACTTAATAAACTCCTCATATATGATATGCTCCACATGTAAACTAATTGAGCACTATAAATGTGGTTAACTACTATGTTGCTGCTAGCTGCTAAGGTCCTGAAACAAATTTTTATTCAAACGTAAAAGATTTGACATTGTATGAACAAACCTCCTTTTTGGATTTATCTTAATGTATATATTTTTCATATTCCTTATATTTTTATATTACAGCAATTTCCTCATTTATTTGTTTTTATTTTATCTTATTTTCTAATATAAATTTTTCTGAATGTGTTTATTTTGGGTTATTTTAAAACAAGACAAAGCATAAGTTATTATGATCAAAGATGCCCACTGTGCAATCTTCTATCAAGTAATTTTTTAAACAGAAGAAGGTACTTGAGTATTAAGTCTCTTCAACAACTTTAGCAAAAGCACGATTTCTGTAACACTGGCATATTCTTCGAAATCTTAGTTTTCATTTGGCTTGCTTATTGTAATATCTTAGCAACTTTTGTGTCATAAGACACATTTAATATTTGTCATATGATAAATATGAAGAATGTGTGTGCATAATGGAGTGTGCCAATGCACATGTGTGCATGTGTATTATGTATGTCTTCCAGCTGTAGTCAAGATTAGTTCTATCCTAGAAGCCACTGATTGAGTTTTCTCCCTCAGTACCCCAAAACAGAGGTGGCTTAGGGTTTTATTTTGCTATATTAGCATTTTATGGAAATATTTTAAAAGTAATTGGAATGAAAAGGGGAGAAAAAGAAATATATGCTTTAGTTTCTACCCATTGATTAACTGAAGTGACCTCACTTTGCTAACACTTACCCTAACTTGAATCAACAGAACTTTACAAAAGCTTCCTAAAATCCTTCTGATTTACAGAAAGCAAAGATTGAGTTAAGAAATCTTAAAAATATAAAATCAAAGTGTTCTGAAACTGTGCTTTTAAAAATAATTTTCTGTAAAGATGCTTCAACACTGTTAATGTCTCAAAGGTGCCTAAGACTCTAGATTTTAAGATATTTAGCAGCATTTCTAGCCTTTCAGCACTAGATGCTAGTAACAACCTTACCAATTCCACTTCCAGTCATCAAGAGGCATAAAGTAAAACTATTTTAAACCTACTGACCTACAGAAACCCTAGACATTCACATGGACTGTCTGGTACCTCTGTTGGCTTACCATCTATAATCCTTCCCCTTCCACAGTCAGCTACGACCACAGTGACCTGGCTGTTTTGCAAGCAATCTAAGCAGAACTCTGCCAGAAATCATCATGCCTCTTAATCTTGCTGCATACTTACATAATTATGTTCTTATTTTATTTAGATATGAACTTGCAAGTCACTTTGGAGACAAATTACTGTATACCTGTTTTACATAAAACCAAAATGTACTTTATAATAGAGAATCTTGCCTCATGCATTTTATATGGAATTGATAACCTCAATTAATCAAATGCAAACAAAAAACTTTATATGCACCATAACCACTAAAACAAAAACATAACTTCCAGGATCCCAAATTATAAGTGTAATATTCAATGTAAGTGTTTTAAATAACATTTTTTATGGGACAAAAATAAGATCTAAATAAAAATGGACTCTGAGATTAGAAAACAATCAGTGCTTTATAAATAAAAATGAAAGCAAAACTATAGGGAAGATAGCTTCAAACCATTCAAAGAAACATCAAACCAATAAAAAAGTGTCTGGAACCTGGAAATCAACAGTTTCTATGAACCAAGCTCACAATCAAGGGAGACAATTTTAAAATTATAAATGTTTTTTTTTATTGCCATAGTGCCTCCTAGGCACATATAAAGCCTTCAAAACTGAAATTTGTATTTTTAATTTGAGGCCCAGATTCCTGATTCAGGAACAAGTAAAGAAGTCTTTATGTGCTAATTTATTGTGTTTACCTAGGAGGTAATGAAGAATTGATAAAACACATTTATTTCAGTTTTGCCTAAGTAAGAACCCACTCTTGGTTGAAAATGCCAAGAATTGGTCACAAATCTTTATGTTGTTGAGAGAAAAGAATACAGTTATTTCATACAATAGACAATTGATTAATAGAGATTCAGATTTTTTAATGATAGTTTTCATATTGCTCTCATTCAGAATGATAATGGAATGCATGCTAAGCTTTCAATAACTAAGAAAACACCTTGGAGATATGAAGAAAATATATAACTGGTAAAATAATACTCAGGCAAAAAATGTGTAGATAAAAGCTAAAGGAATGTGTGACTAATCCTTCTCTAAGGAAAGTAGTGTTACTTTTACAACACTGGCAAAGTTAGCTATTACTATTATACTTCTGGTAGGCAGCTATTACATAGAAAACTACAAATCTATTTTAATGGACACTCAATGTGTACAGATACAATCTGAGATAATAATATAAATTGAGAAGGATAGAAAAGCCCAAGAGCAGCATACTTTTATTATTAAAATTAAATTTTAGATAATTCAATTGACTTAATATTCTTCAAAGTAGGTGATTTAATGTGTAGAATATTACAAGAAGTCCCAAATATAACTAATTATAATATAAAAATACTGAAAAGAATAAACTAAGAAAATAACCAAATTTTTAAAATGATCAACAGAGGAACTGAGGATCCAATAAGATAGAGAACATATGGGAAACAAGGAAATAAATGTTAGAGTAATTATTTTTTTTACTTGTAATAACTTTAAATATGAGCTCTTGCATAACAAAGGCAAAGAATGGTGAAAATGCACCTTTAAAGAAGGACTTAACTTATATGATTTCTACCCAAGTCTTACTTTAGGTGCAAAGACATGGAGATTTAAAGTAAAATGATACAAGTTCTGGGAAAAGCATGAGAGTGGACTATAGAACACTATATATCTGTCTCTTCAAGTGGCAGACTCGGTATGATGCAATTAGTTTGGAACTCCAGAGTCTATCTGAAGGTATACCATTTCCAAAAGAAGCTTTGCATAGTAAACAATTAAATTTGATCATATTTTAGTGTAGATCACCAGCAGCTATTTATTTTTTATCAGCTACTGCAGTGATGTGCTACCTTGCAAATACTTCTGGAGCAGCTAGCAAGAGCCAGGATAAACAAAAAGAACTCAGTCCTCCAAATCTCAGGAGGACTTGGGCATCAATTGCTGCTTCTGATTATGGCCGTCCCGACACAGGGAACAAGTCATGATTTCATTCCCCAAACCTTTCGCAGGCTTTTCCTCCTCCTCCTCAAGCAACTTTCAGAAGATTTAAAGAGCCAGAACATTTTTTTTTCTAATTTTCCATTTTTTTATCTTAAGAGACCTACAATTATGGACAAAAATATTAAAAAGAAAATATATGTACATGAAACTTTAGAATAAAATTTGTTGTTAACCATATGTGCCCCCAAATGGTGCACACTCAAGAAAGACCCAAGAATAAGTTGAGTAAGACTGACTGCCAGGACAGAAATAACTGACATGAGGAATAAAAAAAAACCCTAGCAAATCACAGGGGGAGAAAATCTGATTTTCAAAGTTTTAGCGTTTTAAAATTTGAACGCCTCTTTTCAACACCAACAAAATCACAAAGCAAAAAGTTAAATAAGAAAGTACGGATCATCCTAAGAAAAGAAAAATCACTAACAGAAGCTTTTCATAGAAAGCTCAAATGGCACGCTTTCTAAAAAATAATTTTAAAAATTAATGTCCTTAGGAAGCTACTAGAATAAACAAAATGATTCTCCTGCCTCGACCTTCCAAAACAAAGAAATTCATGAACAAAAAATGTTAATAAAGAGAGAGTAAACTTATTTTTAAAATTAAGAAAAAATTATGGACCTAGAAAGGAAAACAAATGACATAGAAATTTTCTACATACATTTAAAAGGAGACTTGAGCAGATAAAAGAACAAAATGTTGGCAAACCTAGAAGAAGGGCAGTTGAAATTATTAAGTCAGAAAGAGAAAAAGAAATAAAGAAATGTGAACACAGCCTAGATCCAGTAGGACACGATCAAGGAGATCTACTTATGCATTTTGAAAGTTCAAAGAGAAGAGACAAAGAAACAGGGAGACTAAAAATACAGTGGTCAAGAATATAACACATTTGAGGAAATAAACATCTAGGAAGAGCAACAAACTCCCATTAAGATAAACTCAAAGAAACACACTCAAACCTACATGATAATTATACTAAAACAAAGACAAAGAGAATCTTGAAAGCAGCAAGAGAAGTGACTAGTCATGTAAAAAGAACCCTCAAAAATAATCAGCAGATTTCTTATCTAGAAACTCAGAGGTCAGAAAGCAGAAGACTAATATTTTCCAAGTAATGTAAGAAAAGACTTTCAAATACAAATCTTACGTCCAAATAAAGTCCATCAAACATGAGGGAGAAATTATGACATTCCAAAATATAAGCTGGGGTCTTTTTAGATAACCCTTTAAGAAATGCTCTATGGAGTATTTCAGGATAAAATGAAAGGACACTGAACAGCAGTATAAATAAATAAAGATTACGGTAAAGATAAATATGTGATTATTATCAATTATGAAAGAGAAAAAATTAACAATGTGCATCTTCGTAATTTGCTCTCCACAAAATCGACAATAGAATTTTATTTTAAAAAAAGTGAATTTTTTTATTTTATTATTATTATACTTTAAATTTTAGGGTATATGTGCCCAATGTGCAGGTTATTTACATATGTGTACATGTGCCATGCTGGTGTGCTGCACCCATTAACTCGTCATTTTGCATTACGTATATCTCCTAAAGCTATCCCTCCCCCCTCCCCCACCTCACAACAGTACCCAGAGTGTGATGTTCGCCTTCCTGTGTCCATGTGTTCTCATTGTTCAGTTCCCACCTATGAGTGAGAACATGTGGTGTTTGGTTTTTTGTTCTTGTGACAGTTTACTGAGAATGATGATTTCCAATTTTATCCATGTCCCTACAAAGGACATGTGCTCATCATTTTTTATGGCTGCATAGTATTCCATGGTGTATATATGCCACATTTTCTTAATCCAGTCTATCATTGTTCGACATTTGGGTTGGTTCCAAGTCTTTGCTATTGTGAACAGTGCCACAATAAACATACGTGTGCATGTGTCTTTATAGCAGCATGATTTATAGTTGGAGTATTGCTCTGTCACCCAGGCTGGAGATCAGTGGCGCCATCTCAGCTCGCTGCAAACTCCACCTCCCAGGTTCATGCCATTCTCCTGTCTCAGCCTTCCCAGCAGCTGGGACTAGAAGCACAACACCACCATGCCTGGCTAATTTTTTGTGCTTTTAGTACAGACGGGGATTTCACTGTGTTAGCCAGGATGGTGTTGATCTTCCGACCTCATGATCCACCCACCTCAGCCTCCGAAAGTGCTGGGATTACAGGCATGAGCCACCATGCCTGGCTCATTCTTTTTTTTTTTTTTTTGAGACGGAGTCTCTCTCTGTCACCCAGACTGGAGTGCAGTGGCTATCCAGAGCTCTCTTATGCCTGTCCTCTTGGATTTTTATTGAGGCTTTATTACATAGGCATGATTGAATAATCTACTGGCCACAGGTGAACCATCTGATTTTTGTCACAGTATCTCTAGGCTGTTGCTTCACCAGCGAAAAATCTCTGTAGATGGTGGCAGCATTGCCCAAGTTTCTCCTGGGGCAGCTGAGCTAATTTTACTGACTCAGCTTGACAGGCTGTGCTTAGCTGAAATATCAGCTCAGATTCTATTCCTGCAATGGGTGAGCCAGACACAGAGTAGAGAGAGGTGCCTGAGTGACTCTTGAGTCCAGCCACTGCACATAGCTAAACAAACTGGCTGTGATAAGGTGAGCTGATACAAGTGCTAGAACAGGTGCCAACACCATGCAAGTCTTTGGCTGAATCAGGCATACCACAAGCTGTTTCCTCCAAAAGCACTGGAGAATGCAGTGGCATCCAAAAGCTTAGAAATGCCAGAAACTGGAGAGCCCCAGTGATGGTGTCACAGTTCTGACTTGGAACATGTTTAGGTCTGGGCTTCTGTAAGGGTTAAGCCCTTCTAATCCTTTTTTTAAAAAAAATTCTTCTAACAATGTGGCAAGTGTGGGTTTGAGTGTTTCAACCCTGTTTCTGTTACTGTACTTTTAGTTGTGCCATTAAGAGGGTCCTGAGTTCTTGTCCCATGTCCAGAAAGAATGACATATGTGGGACAATGGAGGGTAACCAAGGTAAATAGATGCTTTATTGGGTGAAGATACCGATCTCAGGAGACACAAAGTGGGTAACTCCATTTTACAAAGAGGACATACCTGCATCTGCGAAACACTCAGTAAATAGGAGACCCAGAGATACAAATTTCAGTAGACAGAAAGGTTGTGTAAACACCTCTGAAGCCCTTAGTGGAGGGGGGATTCACAGTGGGTAGCTTCTATCAGCAGGAAGGTTATTGAGATGTCTCTACATCCCTTAGTTAGGAGGAGACCTATCTATCTGCAGGCAGGCAATCCCAGTAAGTGTATAAGTCTCAGTTAGAGGAGGCCCACAGTTGGTGGCTCCACCATGAAGACAAGTTATTTCAAAATCTGAATAAGTCTGAAGTTCACATGGACTTCAGAGGACAGAAAGAGTGTGATGACTGGTCCATTGGAGAACACGAGTGAGACAGAAAAAGACATCTAATCCAAACCCTAACAACTAACACTAAACCCTAAAAATAACCCTAAAATGCTAACTATAATCCTAATCTTAACCCCAACCAAAACCATAAACTAGCCACATCCCTAAACTTAAATGTAGCACTACACCTATCCCCAATCCTAAACCTACCCCTAGTCCTAAACCTACCCAAATCCCAACTTTTAACCCAAACCCTAAACCTAAATTAAATGCAATCCTAGCCCTAAACCCAAAACAAAAAAACCTAACCCTAAAATTGTAATTCTAACACCTAACACATAACCCTAACTCCCACATCTACCCCAACACTAACTCTAAACCTACCCTACCCCTACCTTAAAACCATGACACTAACACTACCCATATATTGAACAACATCAACTGCAACTCCAACCCTATCCCCAACCCTAACCCCAAGCCCAAATCCAATCTGGACCCTTAATTGTTACCCTAAAACTAACTCTAATACATAATCCTGAAAATGAGCATGACACTGCCTCTAAACATGACCCTAAGCCAATCTTAACGCAAACTTAAATATAAATCTGAAGCTAACACTGAAACCCTAACACTGATGCTAAACACTAACCCTCACATTACCACTAACCCTAAACCAAATCCTAAAGCTAACATTATAATCCAAACCCTAACCCTGTAACACTAACCCTAACACTGAAAATAACCCAAACATATAAACTCTAATCTCAACTCCAACCATAAACAATAACACTAATCCTAAACCTACCCCAGTCCTACAACAACCTCAACCACAAACCTCCCCATTAATTATAACCATAATGCTAAAACACTAACCCTAACTTTAAGCCTAAAACCCTATTCCTACCCAACTGCAATGCCAACTGTAACTATAATTGCTGACACCGAAGCCTATAACTAACCCAATCCAAACCCTAACCACTAATCCCTAACCCGGAACCTAAACATAACACTTAACAAAACCATAACACTACCCAAACCCTGAGGTCTAACCCTAACCCAGACTCTAACTGTGACCCCAAAAACAACCACAAATTGACCAACAACCCTAACCATAAAACACTAAACCTAATAAAGACTGTAACAACTAGCCAAAACAATACATCCTAGATCTAAATTTTAATCACTAATGCCAAACCAAGGCCCTGACCCAAATGCTAACCAAAGGTGAACAGTAGACCTAAGCCTAACCCCTAACTCAAAATCTAAGGCTGAACCTTAACCCTAACCATTAACACTAGGCCCTAAACCCTAAACTTCAAACAATAACCCTAACAGGTAATGATAACCCTAACCCATAACCCTAACACTAATCCTAACCCTATCTCTACTACAAACCCAACTCCAACACTAAACCTAACACAAACTCTAACCAAGACCAAAACTCCAAACAAGAAACCTAAACATAAACCTAACCATAATTGTAACATAATCATAACCATAAAGCTAAAATTAAAAGCAAGCCCTATGCTACCACCAAACTGTAAATGCTAACATCAACTTTAACCATACACCCTAAACCCAAGACGTAAACATAACAATTAATAATAAACCTAATAATAACCTTCAAACATTTTAAACCTAAACTTAAACTTAATCCTAAATGCTAAATCCTACCTTATTCCTCAAAATTCAACCTAATCATAGAACAGAGCTAACACTAAAAAATAAATCTAAGGCTAAACCTAATTATAACCCCTAACACAAACCCTAATCCAAACACTCAACCCTAAATGTAAACCTAACACTAAACCCTGACCCTAAGCCTAAACACAAACCCTAACCCCTAATTCTAACAGAATTTAACCCTAACCATAAGCATAAACCCTAACCCTAAGCATAAACAAAAATGCTAAACCCAAACTTAACCCTAATCCTATACTGTAACCCTAAACCTAATGCAAACCTAACACTGAGCCTCACCGTAACCCCTTATCCTAACCCTAAAGCCACCTTAACCCTAACCTTAAATGCTATACAATAACCCTAAATCTAACCCTAAATCCTAAACACTAACCCTAAACTCTAAACATTAACCCTAACACTAACACTAACCTGAAAACCTAACCTGAGCCCAAACCCTAAAACCTAAACTGAATTCTTATCCTTATCCTAACCCTAACTCTAAGCCCTAACCCTAACAGTAACACACTAACCCTATTACCCTCACTCTCACCCTCACCTTAATTCTAACTCATAACACTAACCATAACGCTGGCCATGACCCTAACCTAGAACTTAACCCTACCTACCCCAGCTCCTAACCTCTAAGTATAAGCCTGTTTTTTAACCTAAACCTAAGCATAATCCGACCCCAAACCTAACCTAACCTAACATCTAAACCTCATTCTAACTCTAGCCCTAAACTTAACACTAACCTTGACCCCTGACCCTAATCCTAATTCTAACCCTAACCCTAATCCTACCACAACACTAGCCCCTAACCCAACCCCAGCCCTAACCCTCAATCTAACACTAACATTTCTTCTGCAATTGTAAACCCCTTCCCTAATACCCAACTTCTATCCTGTCTTTAATGTTACCCCATCATCCTTCAAAAAAATTTAAATATATCCTCGATGACTCTAACCTCTAAGTCCTAATGCCCATAAGAGTACATCAAGCAATACTTCTTTGTAATTCCAATTGAGTATTCAATTAAACATATGATATCACGGGGACAAAAAACTAAATATTAACAAATCTGATAATTATAGACGTCATAATGCTTAAACAAATACTAGTAGATGGAATTAGGTACATAGTGAAGACATTACACACCAGAATGACTAAGTTCTTTATTCAGAAAATCAAGGGTTTTTCAACATTCTAAAGCCATCCCTTTTCAATATGTCATGTAAATTAAATGATGAAAAAACACTACATGTTTATCTCAACTGTTACAGAAAGTACTTAAATATAGTCAACAAATTTAATAATACAAACATCCAAAAAGTGGGTTTGAATTTCTTTTATATGATAAAACATCTTTATGCAAAGCACATAACAATCATCATTTGAGTTGTTGGGAAGCAAGGCTTTAAGATTAGGAATGCAGCACTGATGCCCACTTTCATCACTGTATTCAACACTGTTCTAGAACTTCCATCCAAAACAATTAGAAAAGACAAATATATACCAACACATTCATATGTGAAAGAAAAAAGTAAAACTATCTACTCATAGATCTCATAATCATATATGCAGAAAATCATAAGGAACAAACAATAAATTATGAAATCTTGTAAACAAATTAAAACTTACAGGACTAGAATTACTCCAACGGCTCTAAAACCCATAGGGGCAGGTAGATAGGCCTTGGAGCAGAGGCTGTGTTGCTACATTGGGTCCTGGGCTGCAGTGGCTGTGGGGCTAACAAAAACTATTCAAGTTCCTGGGGATTCAAGTAGAATTACTTAAAAACATAATGGATGTGAAGAAGAGAAAACCTACAATGGTTGTGAAAGTCCTAATCCCATGATATCAAATAGATATCTTCTGAGTCATGAATTTGTTGTAAAAGGAGAACATGCATAAACCTCAACAACAATGAAACCCATTTGAGTGACCCAGGTCATTTTTCTGAGGAGGAAAGCATTGAGGTCAATTTAAGAGATATCCCTTCACAAGTGCAGCCAAAAGCATGCACGTATTTTACCTAAATATTTCACTAAACATACAGTTCAACAGAGATTCCTAAATTCCCATTTTACCTGAAGCTGCACTAGAACTGCTGATGGCTGTGAACTTTCTAGATTGCATGTAAATACAGTTGATTGTATATAAATAAAATGAATTGATATAATAAAATAAATTATAATAAGCTGTCAACTCCTTTTTTTTTTTGAGGTGGAGTCTCACTCTGTCAGCTGGGCTGGAGTGCAGCGGAACGATCACAGCTCACTACAAGCTCTGCCTCCTGGGTCCACGCCATGCTCCTGCCTCAGCCTCCTGAGTAGCTGGGACTACAGGCACCTGCCACCACACCTGGCTAATTTTTTGCATTTTTAGTAGACAGGGTTTCCCCATGTTAGCCAGATGGCCTCGATCTCTTCCCCTCACGATCCACCTGCCTTGGCCTCCCAAAGTGCTGGGATTATAGGTGTAAGCCACTGAGCCTGGCCAGCTGTTAACTATTGTCAGTGTTTAAGACCCGTAGTTGAGATACTATTTTTCTTCTAGACAGTGCATTCCCTGTATGCAATGTAACTATAAAATTAATTTTAAATAAGGTTGACTTTTGTTATTTGCATAGCAGAGTTGAAATGTGTTTGCAATATGAACAAACTAAGGACATTTTCACAAACTGTGAAACAAATATGCAACTCATAAGTGGGTTTGCCTTATGCTTTGTGTATGTCTCTTAAAATGAGCAATGGTAACACAAAAATGCTGAAAATTAGGCATAAATGAATAACTGCATTATAAAAATGTTCATAGCTTAGCCAGAATGTTGATTTTTATCTAAACCTAACATATTAAATGTTTTATCAATGCCAATAATCCCAGCACTTTGGGAGGCCAAGTGGGTACTCTACAAAAAATACAAAAAAAATTAACCAGGTATAGTGGCTGAGGCTAAGGAGGAAGGATTAATTGAGCCTGGGAGTTAGAGGTTGCAGTCAGCCATGATGGCATCTCTGCATTTTAGCCTGGGCAACAGAGAGACCCTGTCTCAAAAAAAGGAATACAATCTGAAATTTCTTATTTTCTTTTAAATAAACTTCAGTATTCCTTAAAAGTGTCAGCCAGGAGCAGCAGCTCAGGCTTGTAATCCCAGCATTTTGGGAGGCTGAGGTGCATGGATCACCAGAGATCAGGAATTCGATACCAGCCTTGCCAACATGACGAAACCTCGTCTCTACTAAAAATACAAAAATTAGCCAGGCAGGATGGCAGGCACCTGTAATCCCAGCTACTCGGGAGGCTGAGGCAGGGAAATTGCTTGAACCTTGGAGACAGAGGTTGCAGTGAGCTGAGGTGGTGCCACTGAACTCCAGCCTGAGTGACAGAGCAAGATACCATCTCAATAATAATAATAATAATAATAATAATAATATAAAATAAAAATGTCTAGTTTTCACATTTTGTTTATCGCTACAATTTAAGAACTTTAAAAAAATAATTTTGGAAGGTTACTAGGTACAATTTTTGAAGAAGTAACTGAATGATATCCACAGGGTCAACAAGTCAACTATATGACTTAAGACTTCTTGTACATTATACCTTTTGGGAAACTGAAAGTACTGTATTTTTATTGACTGTAAAGCAACATTCCTTGGCAATATTCAAAACAGGAAAAAAAAAGTCTAGGTGTGGTGTGGTGGCTTATGCCTGTAATTCCATTTCTTTGGGAGTGAAATGTGTAAGGATTGCTAGAGCCAAAGAGTTTGAAGCTGCAGTGAGCACACCACCCACCACACTGCCACCTGGGCCAGAGACTGAGACGCTTCCTCAAACAACAACAAAATCAGTGGTAGTAATATTTTAAGCTTAAATTTAACCACGGTGCAAGACTTAGACATGACAAATTATAAAATATTGCTGAAATAAATTTCAGAAACCCTAAATAGATGTAAAGACATTCCATGTTTCTGGATTAAAAGGTGATATTTTATATGATGGCAATAATACACAAAGCAATCTACAAATTCACTGTGATTCCTACGAAATACCAAAATTCTTTTGGCAGAAATGGGCAAGCCAGTCATGACATTCATATAAATTTCAAGGGATTCTGAGTAGCCAAAATATTCTTGAAAACAAAAACCAACTTGGATCTCAATTTCAAATATTACTACAAAGGAACAGTAATAAAAAGACCATAATACTAGCATAAGGACAAACATATAGATCGATGGAACTGAATGTTGAGTCCAAGAATACCTCTATAGTCAATGATTTTTGACATGTAGCCAAGACCATTAAATTCAACAAATGGTGTTAGACCACTGACTACTAAAATTCAGACAAATAAATTGTACTCTATCCTCATAACATGTAGAAAAGTTAATTCAAAATGCTTCAGAAGCCTCAAAAATTAACTCAAAATGGTTCAAAAAGTTTAATATGTAAACAGAGGTAAAAATGTAAACTCTAGAAGAAAACATAGGGATAAATGTTCATAACCTTGGATTTAGCAGTAGTTTCTTAGATATGACACTAAAATCACAGGCAAATAAAGAAATAATTTCCTCAAAAACTTTTGTGCAACAGAAGACACTGACAAGAAAGTGAAAAGACATGTCACAGAAAGATTTGCACATTATATATGTGACAATAGTGTGTTATCCACAATATATAAAGAAATTGTATAACTCAACAACAACATAAAAGACAAACAATCCAATTACAAAATGAAGAAATAGTTGAACACACACTTCGCCAAAAAACATGCGTATGGAAAACAAGCACATAAAAATACAAACAGTAAAATATATAAGTTCTACTCCATCAAATGTTTCATATAATAGCTTTTCTCATAGTCATGTGATGCTGTGTGGTAAAATTACTACTTTTTATCTCTACCTGAGGAACAGACAAGGTAGCAATACTGCTTGGGGGTAAGTTTCCTCAGATGAAAAAAAAATTAGCAAAAATGACATTCTGAAATGAAGACTTTCCTGATGGACTAGAGTTTCCAATAAATGTTACCGTTCGTACCTCAGCCTCCAGAGGTCAAGAATTTGGGAGACGTTTTTCCCTCAGGTGAAGCCAATGTTAAAGTGAAATAGGTCTGTGGATTGGACTTTCATGTAGAAATAGTGTATTTCCTGATATGGTTGTTATGTGGTGGTAACCTGAGAGAGAGTTCCCGCTTTTGGTAAAACACACTGGGATATTTTGCACGAAACTGCAAATCCGGCACAGCACTAACTGCTGAGAAATCTGGAAAAAAGGATGAAGTATACTAACTGCTACTGCAAGTTCCTTAGAAGTATGAAATTATTGGGAAGTAAACTACTTTTAAATGAAAACAACCATGTCAATACCATGAAACTAAAGCAGAGACATTAACCCAAATTTCATTATAGAGGGAAATCCAACGCAAATCCAGATCAATGGAAGGTGTAAAACTAAGGGCCCTGGTAAGAGTAGAAACCTTATGTATTACATGTGTTACATCTGTATGATGAGTGTTACAATAGTAACTATGGGTGTTATATTAGTGTTACAGTTGTTCTATTTGTATTACAAATGTTATATGAGTATCATGAGTGTTATTTTAGTATTACAGGTGTTACATCGGTATTACAGTTGATACATCAAAATTACAGTTGTTATATTTGAATTGTGCATGGTATATTGGTATCATGAGTGTTACAGTTGTATTACAGGTGTCAGGACAGCTTTACAGGTGTTACATCAGTGTTACCGATGTTTTATTTGTATTGCGGATCATGTATCGTTATTATTAGTGTTACAGTTGTATCGTGAGTGTTAGATTAGCATTATGGTTGTTATATTTTTATTGTGGATGGTACGTTGGTATTATGAGTGTTTCATTACTGTTATGAGTATTACACTTGTAAGATAAGTGTTATATGAGTATTACAGGTGTTACATTTGTAGTACTGTTGCATCTGTATTATAGGTGCTGTGTTAGTTTACTGATGTTACATTTGTAGTAGAGATGATATAATTTATGAAGAATGTTATATATGTGTCACAAGTCCATGGCGTTGACTTTGCATTGCGTCCACCGCGCCTTGTGTGGGGACGGACCTTGGGTAGCACTAAAAAACATATATTTTTTTACTTCTAATGTTCCACACAAAGCCATTTTACTAAGCCCTTGATCCTCAACAGTCATAGGAAGGTTTTTACTTATCTCTGCCTCAGGCTGTCCCTGAGCGAGGCGGAGTTGCTAGCGTGTGTGCTGAGGGGAATGCAGCTCTTGTCCTCCGCCGCAGCAGGCGGTGAACACCCGAGCACTCACAAGGTCTGAAAAGGGTGCTCGCGCGCCGCTGTGCAGGTGGACGGAGGAACTGCAAGACCCACGTGGTCCAGGGCGGCCCTGTGCGCTCCCTCCTGGCTGGCCTGCGGCATCAAATAAAGGCAGAGTTCAGATTGTTCTGCGCCCATCATTTTGACAATTCAAACGGAAATGGAGCCTATTATCCTTTTTTTTTTTTTTTCTAAAAATGAGAAGGAACCAATAACTGGAAACCACAGAAAATGACGTGAATGCAGACGCAAACTTTACTTCTTAAACAAAAATGTCCTCAACATAGTCCTGAGACTTAAAATGCAAAAAAAAAAAATGCTTTCTCATATTAAAAGTTTGCACTCTGTGAAAAATATTGTTCAGTAAATAGACAAGCCACAGATTGAAAAGAAATATCTTCAAAAGACAGATTTAAGCAAGAACTTGCACTCAAAATATACAAAGAAAGTTCGAAATTCAAAAATAAAATAGACTATCCAAATAAAAATGGGTCAAGAGCTGAGCAGATAACTCACCAATGAAGACAAAGAGATGACAAGGAAACAAAAAGATATTCAATTTCATATCATTGCAGGACTGAAAATCACAAGGATGAGATAGCAGGCCCCATCTATATTTGCTAGTACTGCTAAACTGTTTTTAAAACATGACAAACGATTTTCTGGAGGATAAACAGGGATTCATTCATTTCTGGTGGAATGCAGGATGGTGGGAGATCAGAATACATGACCAGAAACTATGCTTCTTTGGTATAAGGCTTATTTTAAACTCACCATTTTCAGAAAATGCAGACACAGGGGAACTTCTGAAAGCAGAGAAGTAGTTACCCTTTTGTAAGGGAAATTTACATCTAATAAGGAAATCTCCATTTTAATGAGGCTTTCTTTCCCTTCCTTCCTCCCTCTTCCTTCTCTCCCTCCATCCCTCCCTCCCTCTCTCTCTCTTTCTTTCTTTTTCTTTCTTTCTTTATTTTTCTTTCTCTCTTTCCAACAGTCTCCCTCTCTCTCTCTTTGTCTATCTCTCTTTCTCTCTCTCTCTCTCTTAGCCACACCCCTCTCTAACAGAGTCTCACTCTGTTGCCCAGGCTGTAGTGCAATGGCATAATTTCAGCTCACCTCAACCTCCACCTCCAGGGTTTACGAGATTCTCTTTCTTCAGCCTGAGGAGAAGCTAGGACTATAGTCATGTGCCATCATGCCTGGCTAAATTTTTAGTATCTTTATTAGAGATGGGGTTTCACTATGTTTGACAGGATGGTCTCCAACTCCTGACCTCATGATTCACTCAACTTGGCCTCCCAAAGCGTTGGGATTACAGTGTGAGAAGAAACCCCGGCCAAGACTCCCTTTCAATACCAATAAGAGAAAGATGATGAAATCCATAGAGGTTCTTATTAAGAGACTTCCAGAAACACCCTCAAAAATGTATACAGAAATGGTACTTTACCAGCTATGTGAGTATCCCTTAATTGTGTCAAGCGAACACTTAAAATTAGCCATTACAGTATTTGTGCTGGATTTGTGGCTACAGTTTTAGAATGAATTCTATAAAATTTATACTTAGATATGTCTTACGTATGTTTGTATTTTTTTATATGTGATACTTTCACATCTCTGAATGTCAGTGCAAAATTAATCTCTAAAATCATTTAAAAGTGCTCTATTCTAGATTGGCTTGGAAAAAACTTAGCACTTATAGGATAAATATTTCTAAAACATGCAGAAAATAGAGCAACTAATCCAAATGTTTTTCAAGTGCAGATTATTTTGAAAAACCTTTGGTAAGTAAAACTATCTAATATTTTTTGCTTAATAAAACAAGTATGTATTTAGAGTTGTCACTATTCAATATGAAACAGACGTACATTTTTATTTCATTTACTTACCAAACAAATTGATATTATATTCACTCAATATTTAAAATCTTAAATCTTATAGTTTGATGCTAATTAAGTTGCCATTCTTATGACCAACATTATTGTAATAATAATGTGTTACAGTATATCTAATACTGATTTATAAAATCTTTCTGGTAATTTGTAACTTTAAAGTTATGATAAACAAAATAGGTTTATAAAACAAAATAAAAACCAGTAATTACAAAACATAAATTGAAGCTTATATACTATAGCTTCTTTTCTTATCTTTTTTTTTTTTTTTTTTTTGAGATGGAGTTTTCTCTTGTTGCCCAGGTTGGAGTGCAATGGCACAATCTCAGCTCACTGCAACCCTGCCTCCCAGATTCAAATGATTCTCCTGCCTCAGCCTCCCTAGTAGCTGAGATTATAGGCACACCCAGCTAATTTTCTTGTAACTTTAGTAGAAACAGGGTTTCAGGATGTTAGCCACGTTGGTCTCAAACCCCTGACCTCAGGTGGCCCACCCACCTTGGCCTCCCAAACTGCTGGGATTACGGACATGAGCCACCACTCCCAGTGCTCTAGCTTCTTACTTTGAGAGAGACTAAAAGATATTTTTATCTGTTTACGAACATCCTTTCTACAATAATGAGACATTATACTATGAGAAAATATATGCCTCTAAAAATTGAGATGGTTTGTTCAAAAATTATGTAACCCACTCTGGAATGCTAATACATGACAAACAGTTTTTTTGGGAACAAGCTCCCCAAAATCTGGCCATAAACTGGCCCCAAAACTGGCCATAAACAAAATCTCTGCAGCACTGTGACATGTTCATGATGGCCATAACACCCATGCTGAAAGGTTGTGGGCTTACTGGAAGGAGGGCAAGGAACACTTAGCCCCCCACCCCCACTCAGGGTGGAAAACCACTTAAAGACACTCTTAAGCCACAAATAATAGCATAAGTGATCTGTGCCTTAAGGACATGCTCCTGCTGCAGTTAACTAGCCCAACCTATTCCTTTAATTAGGCCTATACCTTTGTTTCCCATAGGGGATACTTTTAGTTAATTTACTATCTATAGAAACAATGCTAATTTCTGGCTTGCTGTTAGTAAATATGTAGGTAAATCTGTGTTTGAGGCTCTCAGCTCTGTAGGCTATGAGACCCCTGATTTCCCAGTTCACACCTCAATATTTCTGTGTGTATGTCCTTAATTCGTCTAACGCCACTGAGTTAGGGTCTCCCCGACCAAACTGGTATCAGCAAGTGGCATCCATTGTTGGGGCTCAAATCCAGATTGGAAGGTCACCAGAGTGATGGCTGGAGAATGTGAAACTAGCTGGACGACACCTGAGTACTCTTAGCCAATCCCCATGGTGAGTAAGAAGGGGAGCTCAGAATCATCAGGGTAACAATGGGACAAGTGTGGGTTCTGGTTCATTTCACCTTGGAACTTTTCACACTGCTGATGAGGAGGAAGGAGAGTATAGCGAAGTAAAAGAAGAGGTTACAGAGCATGTTTATTTGCCAGCTAAAGCTAAAGCGGCAAAGGAAGGAGAGGTTCATCCCTACCCTTCTGCATTCCCTCATTATTATTTTGAAGAAAAAGACCCTCCAGATCTTTCTTTTCTGGAGGACACTGGGCTAAAAGTAGTTGCCCCAGTGACTTTGAGCAGCGCCTTGAGTGACCACCCTTAGTTCTATTCAGGCAGGAATTCAGCAAGCCAGACAAGAGGGTGATTTAGAGGCTTGACAGTTCCCTGTTAGAATACACTCCCCAGATCAAGAGGGAAATATAATAGTTACATTTGAGGCTTTTCCTTTTAAATTATTCAAATAATTTAAACAAGCTATAAATCAGTATGGACAAGGTTCTCCTTTTGTAATGGGACTGTTAAAGAATGTTGCTGTTTCCAGTCAGATGATTCCTACTCACTGAGATGCTCTTACTCAAGCTTGTCGAACTCCTGCTTAGTTCTTACCATTTAAAACTTGGTGGGCAGATGAAGCTTCCATTCAGGCTGCTAGCAATGCCCATGCCCAACCTCAAATTAATATAATTGCAGACCAACTTTGGGGGTTGGTGGCTGGGCTGGTTCAGATTCACAACTAGTCATGCAGGATGATGCCATAGAACAGCTTAGAGGAGGGTGCATTAGAGCTTGGGAGAAAATAACTTCAAGTGGAGAACAATATCCTTCCTTTAGTCTCTTAAAAAGATGACTGCAGATTTGGCTGCTTAGGATATAGTGTTGCAGTTACTAGTTTTGACAATGGTAATCCGGATTGCCAGGCTGCTCTGTGACCTATCAGAGGGAAAGCACATTTAGTTGACTATATCAAGGCCTGTGATGGTATCGGAGGTAATCTGCATAAAGCTACTGTGTTGGTACAGGCAGTGGCAGGACTGAGAGTGGATAAAGGAAATACTCCATTTCCTGGAGCTTCTTTTAACTGTGGAAAGCATGGTCATACTAAAAAATAATGTAGAAAAAAATCAGCGAGTCAGGACACCAGATAGGAGAAAAAAGAAAACTGCTGAGGCTGAAATATGTCCAAAATGTAAAAAAGGAAAACATTGGACTAATCAGTGTCACTCTAAGTTTGATAAAGAAGGGAACCCAATTTTGGGAAATGCCATGAGATGCCCATCCCGGGCCCATTGTCAACCAGCACATTTTCAACTCTGGCCATTCCCTCACCACTGTACAGTGTCTGTCCCCCACCACAGCTGGTAGTGCCACTGTAGATTTATGCTGCACAAAAGCTGTGAGCCTTCTGCCTGGGGAACCCCTGCAAAAGATCGCAACAGGAGTCTGTGGACACTTGCCAGCAGGGACAATACGATTACTTCTAGGCAGGTCTACTTTAAGTTTAAAAGGGGTACAAATACATACAGGAGTCATTGATTCAGATTATAATGGGCATTGCAGGAAGTTAGCGACCCCGAACAGAGGAACCCACAGAAGCCATGGCAGAACACACATTATGAAGATTTCATGGACATTTATTCATTCCCCAAGTTAATACTTCTATAATTTCTTGCAACTGTCTTCACTGCAGTCTTTTAACATAAACTGTGAAGATTTCATGGACACTTATTATTTCGCCAGTCAATACCCTTGTGATTTCCTATGCCTGGCTTCACTTTATTCTCTTAATTCTGTCATCTTCCTAAGCTGAGGAGGATGTATGTCGCCTCAGGACCCTGTGATGATTGTGTTAACTGCACACATTATTTGTATAGCATGTATATTTGAACCATATGAAATCTGGGCACCTTAAAAAAGAACAGGATAACAGCAATGTTCAGGGAACAAGAGAGATAACCTTAAAATCTGACTGCTGGTGAGCTTGCAGAACAGAGCCATATTTCTATTCTTTCAAAAGCAAATGGGAGAAATATAACTGAATTCTTTTTCTCAGCAAGGAACATCCCTGAGAAAGAGAATGC
This sequence comes from Homo sapiens, assembly GCF_000001405.40. NCBI lineage: Eukaryota > Metazoa > Chordata > Mammalia > Primates > Hominidae > Homo > Homo sapiens. The sequence goes on from NC_000024.10 coordinate 9,240,757, forward strand.
ATCCCTGAGGGTAGGCCTCTAAAATGGCCACTTTGGGGGTGTGGCCATCTTTTATGGTAGAAGCTGTAGGGATTAAATGAGGCCCAGTCTCCCATAGCACTCCCAGGCTTATTAGAATGAGAAAATTTCTGCCTAATAAATTTTTGGTCAGACTGGTTGTCTGCTCTCAAACCCTGTCTCCTGGTAAGATGTTATCAATGACAACGCATGCCTTAAACTTCATTAGTAATTTTAATTTTGCCCCAGTCCTGTGGTCCTGTGATCTCACCCTGCCTCCATTTGCCTTGTGATATCTTATTACGTTGTGAAGCATGTGATCTCTGTGACCCACACCCTATTCATACACTCCCTCCCCTTTTGAAAATCACTAATAAAAACTTGCTGGTTTTATGGCTCAGGGGGCATTACAGAACCTGCCAACATGTGATGATGTCTTCCCTGTCACCCAGCCTTAAAATTTCTCTTTTTTATACTTTGTCCCTTTATTTCTCAGACTGGCTGACACTTAGGGAAAACAGAAAAAAATCTATGTGAAATATTGGGGGTGAATTTTGCCTGATATCTGGCTGAATTTCCCCTGATAAATGGGGAAATTAAATTATCATGTCTACTTCTGTTCCCTGGAAAGCAGAGCCAGGAGAGCACATAGCACAGCTCCTGATTGTGCCATATGTGAGAATGGGAAAATCTGAAATTAAATGAACAGAAGGATTTGGAAGCACAAATAAACAAGGCAAAGCAGCTTATTGGGTAAATCAAATTGCTGATAAACATCCTGCCTGTGAAATAACTACTAAGGGAAAGAAATTTAAAGGTTTGGTAGATACAGTAGTGGACATTTCAGTCATTTCTCTACAGCACTGGCTGTCTGGATTGCCAATTCAACCAGCTCAATTTAACATAGTTGGAGTTGGTAAAGCCCCTGAAGTATATCAAAGTAGCTCTATTTTACAGTGTGAAGGGCCCAATGGACAACCTGGGACTGTTCAACCAATTATAACTTCTGTACCTATAAATTTATGGGGAAGATGTTTATTACAACAATGAGGACCACAATTTCTAATTTCAGAATAATTATATAGCCCTGAAAGTCAACATGCAATGCATGAAATGGGGTATGCCCCTGGTGGCTGCTAAGTAAAGAGAAACTGGAGGCTTTAGAGAAATTAGTTACTGAACAATTAGAAAATGGGCACATGACTTGAAAATTTTTCCATTGGAATTCTCCAGTTTTCATAATTAAGAAAAAACAGGTAAATGGAGAATGTTAACTGACGTAAGAGCCATCAACTCAGTTATACAACCTATGGGAACATTACAGCCAGGATTGCCTTCTACTGCTATAATTCCAAAAAATTGGCATTTAATAGTCTAGATTTGAAAGACTGTTTCTTTACTATCCCTTTAGCTGAGCAAGACTGTGAATGGTTTGCATTTACAATTCATGTAGTAAACAACCCGCAGCCTGCTAAGTGTTTTCATTGTTTTATAGATGGGTCTAGTATGGTAAACCTTCTTATTCTAGCTCAAAAAGCAAAGTTTTCCAGATGTCCTATACTTCAGATCAAAAGCAGAGCTTGTAGCTGTAATTGAGGTATTTACTGCTTTTGAAATACCTATTAATGTGATTTCTTATTCTTCATGCATGGTTCATTCCACACAGTTAATTGAAAATGCTCAGTTATGATTTCATACAGATAAACAACTGATGACTTCATTTACCCAATTGCAAACAGCAGTTAGAAGTAGAATACAATACACCCTTTTTACCTCACTCACATTAGGGCTCATATACCTCTTACAGGACCTTTAACTGAAGGGAATCAAAAGGCTAACCACCTAGTTGCTAATGCAATATCTAATGCTAGACACTTTCACAATTTTACCCATTTTAATGCCTCCAGTCTCAAATGCTAGACACTTTCACAGTTTAACCCATGTTAATGTCTCTGGTCTCAAACACAGATACAGTATTACCTGGAAATAAGCTAAAACTATTATCCAGCAATGCCCAACTTGCCAATTGGTACATTCCTCATCTTTTACAGGAGTTAATCCTTGAGGATTGGAAGCTAACTGTCTTTGGCAAATGGATGTCACACATACACCCTCGTTTGGGAGACTAGCTTATGTACATGTATGTGCGTACACATTTTCTCACTTTTTCTGGGCTATGTGCAAATCAGAAAAGTCTTCTGCCTGTGTTAAACATCACCTTTTGCAGTGTTTTGCAGTGATGGGCATTCCAGCTTCTAGGAAAACAGATAATGTCCCAGGCTATACTATCCAAACTCTAGCTACATTTTTCTCTATGTGGAATATTAAACACATTACTGGTATCCCATATAATTCTCAAGGACAAGCCATAGTGGGAAGAATAAATCTTTCCCTAAAACAGCGGTTGCAAAAGCAGAAAGAGGGAAATAGAGAATACAGAACCCCACAGATGCAACCGAATCTAGCATTATTAACTTTAAAATTTTTGAACCTGCCCAAAGGCCAGATGTTATCAGCAGCTGAACAGCATCTACAGTAACCAGCTGCAAAGACAGAAGGAGAACAATTGATTTGGTGGAGAGATACAAAAACAAGAAGTTGGGAAATAGGTAAAATAATAACTTGCGGTAGAGGTTATGCTTGTGTTTCTCCAGGCCAAAATCAACAGCCAATTTGGACACCATCAAGACACCTGAAACCCTATCATGAGCCAGATTCTGGGAGGACCCTGAGGACCCCTCAGTTGCAGCCATGTTGAGGCTGATGCTGAGGAGGACTCCAACTGTCATGAGAAACACCCATTGAACACAGCCACCTACCTGGGGACAGATCAAGAAGCTGTCACTGATGGCAGAAGAAAACCTGAGGAAAGTGGGACAACCAGTCACAACAAGTAATTTAATGGTAGCTATGATAGCAGTTATCACCACTGCCATGAGTATTCCTTCAACAAGGGTTGAGACAGAGAGCAATTATACTTATTGGGCATATTTATCAATCCTGGCTGGTACTTATGCCTGGATATAATCAATCTATGACACAGTAGCTCATGCTTTCTGATCTCAGTATTTACCATAATAAACCCGCTCCTATAATTGAGGCATACCGCCTTCAAAAACCTATTTGTAAACAAAACAGAACGTGGCCAAAAATAATGAACCTACTTGTTTATGAAGATTGCTTTGCAGAAGAGGCAGAGTGCTGCACAATGATTCCTATGGCATCATGATTGATTGGTCCCCTAAGAGGAGGTTTAGCTTGAATTACACCTCTCAGTCTGTGTGCCATGGCCACACTATGTTCAGCTTGTCTGAACAAAATGGTCAGATGATAGAAATGATAAGAGGTACTGCAAGAATTCCTGTTATCTGGAACCATGGCAGTATAGTGGCACATCTACCTCAAATGATATGGCCCATCATAGAAACTAAACATAAGGATTTATGGAAACTATTAATAGCTCTTAATAAGATCAAGATTTGGGAAAGAATAAAAATAGTATCCAAAAGGACGCTGTACAAACTTATTTTTGGATATTGCAAAATTAAGAGTACAAATATTTAAAGCATCCCAGGCACACCTGACCTTAATGCCAGGAACTGGAGTGCTTAAAGGAGCTGCAGACAGATTCACAGCTAGTAACCCATTAAAATGGATAAAAACACTGGGAAGCTCTGTGATTTTAATGATGGTTGTGCTTTTAATCTATGTTGTTTTTCTTTGTATAGTCTGCAGATGTGGACCCTGACTCCTTCAAGAATTAGCTCACCATGACAAAGCTGCCTTTGCTCTTATCAATTTGAAAATCAAAGAAGGGGGCATGTTGGGAACAAGCGCCCCCCCCAAATCTGGCCATAAACTGGCCCCAAAACTGGCCATAAACAAAATCTCTGCAGCACTGTGACATGTGCATGATGGCCATAAAGCCCGTGCTGGAAGGTTGTAGATTTATGGGAATGAGGGCAAGGAATACCTGGCCTGCTGAGGGCAGAAAACCACTTGAAGTCATTCTTAAGCCACAAACAATAACATGAGTGATCTGTGCCTTAAGGATATGCTCCTGCTGCTGTTAACTATCCCAATCTATACCTTTAATTCAGCCAATACCTTCATTTCCTATAAGGGATAGTTTTAGTTAATTTGATATCTATAGAAACAATGCTAATGACTGGCTTGCTGTTAATAAATACGTGGGTAAATCTCTGTTTGAGGCTCTCAGCTGTGAATGCTGTAAGACCTTTGATTTCCTACTTCACACCTCTAGATTTCTGTGTGTGTGTCTTTATTTCCTGTAGTGCCACCGGCTTAGGGTCTCCCCAGCTAAGCTGGTCTTGGCACACAATATACAAGTAAGAAAATATGCTTAATATTCCCTAGGTTATATTTCGGTAAAGATATTTTGGTAAAATGTTATTTGTTTTGGAAGCTGTATGGAATTCCTGGAAATTTGTGAATGACCTATCTATTACATGTCCTAAGATAATATCTTGAGTCATAAGTCTAGTCATTATTTTAAATGTTGTTTGCCATAGAAGAAAACAAATTTTCTTGCTCATTGTAACATAATGAGTGTCATTAGATTTTTAATCATGGCCATTTTGCACCTTTTCTAATTTGCAGGTAGTTATTATTTCAATATCATGCTTTTCCTTTTGCATCTGCATTGGCTAGAGGTCAGAATGTTTGTCTCCAACAAAGCACTGCCTCTGAGACCCATGGAAACAACTGTAATGGGTCCTCTGGGCACAAGCATCTGATGTCAAAGATTCAATAATTTTATGGTTATACTATGGGACTGAGTAATGATATCCAGAACTCTAGTGGAGAAACTGATGGTCTCATGGAACTGCTAATACAAAATCAAATAAGACTGGAATCAATTACATGGTATTTAATGAGCTGATGAAGAATGATTATTTTACAGCTTTTGTTTTTGGTTTGGCAAATTGTTGGTTTTTTAATATTCTATTTTTCTGTGTTTAAGAATCCCCATTTTTTCTCTTAGGCTAACTATTTAATAGATTACATTTTTGTAGACATAAGTGAAAGACTTACAAATCAAATATAAAATTTTAAGTTTCCCCTCAAACGTGCCCACCACAGGCATCTGAATGGACCCCTCCTTTTGGCCAAGGGCCTTTTAAAATTGGTTCAGGTCCTGAGAGGAAAGAAGGATAGACATGCTTCATTATACACTCCACCTTTTTGAAATTTAGGGAAAGTTGACCATCATTAACATCAACACAGACCTTAAGTTTGACAAGAAATATTTACCACCTATTCTCTTTTAAGTCTGCCACATGGAGTCTTCCTCATCTTGATAAACTTTGTCTCTATGCTCCCTATTATTTACTGCAACCCAGTCATTCCTATCCATTGTTTCTATGTCTACAGAAAATAACTCTTTCAACAAACTGCCAATCAGAATGTATTTAAATATACCTATAACTTGAAAGCCCAGCCCCGCACCACCACTCACTTCAAGTTGTCCCACCTTTCTGGACCAAACAAATGTACATCTTACATGTATTTGATTGATATCTCGTGTCTCCCTAAAATGCAGAAAACTAGGCTGTTCCCAGTCCATCTTGGGCACATGTTCTGAGGATCTTCTGAGAAGGGTTGTGTTATGGGCCATTGGTCACCCATATTTGGCTCAGAAAAAATCTCTTTAAATATTTTGCAGAGTTTGACTCCTTTCATGAACACATGTATCTTTTTTCTCCCTGCTTAGTCCTCCAGAATTTTGGATCTCATAAAATGTTCTTATTTTCATGGCAATATATTTTAGGTATTCATGCATATTTGTATGAATATGTCAATGTATATTTAAAGAAAAATAATGAAAGTTTACACCATGACTTCTCAGTTATGCCCTCTGGGAGAGCAATTAAAAAGGGTAAGTGAAAACTTTGGCTTTTTTATTACATACTCATGTAGGCATTCTGATTGAAGTGAGATGAAATCTCATTGTGGTTTTGATTTGCATTTTCCTGATGGATTACTGATGCTGAGTGCTTTTTACTGTGTCCTCTGGGCAACTGTATGTCTTAGTTTCACAAATGAGCATTCATATCCTTAGTCCATTTGTTTTCATGCTATTGAATTGTTGGAGTTCCTTATGTACTGTAAATATTCACCCATTAACAGATGTATAGTGATTCAATAATTTCACCCATCTTGTAGGATGTCCCTTCCCTCTCTTCAGTTTCCTTTGGTGTACTGAAGCACCTTAGCTTGACATAACCCGATTTTATATTTTTGAAGGTGTTTACTGTGTTCCTGCAGTCACTTTGAGACCACCATTGCCCACACCGATGTCATAGAGCTTCTTCCTTGTGATTTCTTCTGGTATTTTTATGGTTTCTGGTCTGACATTCGAGTTCTGTGAGACATAATCTACTCTTAAAATCCTTTATGTGGATATTCAGGTTTTCCCCAACCTAGTTTATAGAAGATACCTGATTTTGCATTGTGCGTTCTTGCTTCTTTGGGATAAGGTCCTGATCTGCAAATGCAGTGACTTGGTTCTGGGACCAGATTGTTTTTCATTAGCTCATGTCTCTGCTTGTCTGACAGTGCTGTTCTATTTTGGTGCATAAAACTTTGTAGCATATTGTGAAGTTAGGTAGTGTGAAGCCTCCAGCTTTGTGCTTTTTACTGGATTGCTCTGGGTCTTCAGGATCTTCTACCATTTCATAGCAAACTTAGGCTTCTCAGATTGTTTTTCTATGAAGAGTAGGTCATTGATACTTTTACAGGGGTTGTACAGAATCTGTAGACCACTTAGGTAGTAGTGATGTCAATGCCATTTAGACAATGTCTGTTTTCGTGTGCACATGCTCAGGGCCGAGAGACACGCGGTGTCCTCACTAATACTTAGGTGGGTCCTAATGTCCAGCAGGATTGCCTTCCTGAACACACACAGAAGGTCCCCTTCCATTTTGCCATCTCTTCACATTTCCTCCCCTGTGAAACATGTGTCATCCTCCAAATTCCTTGTGTGGTGACCTGTCTTTTCTGGCCATGGCAGAGGATGGGTGAATGAGGATGCTAGAGGGGAAACAGCATGTCAGGGGACCGTGGAGTCATTGACACAGAACTTGACAGGTCTGGGAGAGCTATTCTGGGAGGATGTAGACCTAGATGGGCCTCAGGTGGGCATTTGTGTGGAGGGTGAGAGCACCCTGGTTGAGTCCAAACTGAGCCTTAGATGGTAGCAGTCCTCAGGGCAGGGAAGTGAGATTACAAGGGATAATGAGGCAGCTATTCCTTGAGCCTGGCTTCTCACCCATTGACCTTAGTTACTTATGCCTCTTAAGCAGCTTAGGGTTCCCCAATCCTGAAATGTGGGTACTACAGTTCCCTGATGGGCCTTTCTCCCCCAGCCCATGCATGGTCTGAGTATGCTTACCGCAGTCCCTGAGCCTTGGCTTCGCTATGTGTCCTAGCTCCAGGACCCACAGGCCTCTCATCCCACAGGAGGCTGCTCCCCAGCCTCCTCTCTGTTCCCTCTCTGAGGGCCTAACTCCCTTGGGTAGCGCTGCATGAGATTGAGCCACAGGCCCTGGCTGATGATCTGGGGGACTGGGCAAAGTGGTCATGACAGGTCAGGTTCTGGTTCAAAGCCAATTCCTCCGATGCCAAGTGGACCAGCAAGGTCCTTTCCCATGATGCCCCACCACCACCCCACCTCAGCAACCCATCATACCCTGGGCAGTCACCATCAGCCAACCAGCTGAAGAAACTCAGTTAGGTGTGTCCTGCCTGAAACTGGGGCCTTCACCTGCATGATCCTAGAACCACTGGACACAGTGGAGCCAGTCACCCTCTATCCTGGAGTGAGAGAAGTTGGGAAGGCTCATGCCAAACCTAGCTTCCCACATACCACCCCCTCTACCATGCGGGGAGGCACTCCTTATTGAGAATTCCAATGCAATACTCCTTAATGATCACTTCATTGTGGAAGTAAATGTTGTGATGAAAGGCATACTTCATCCTTCTGCCACTACTCAGGATGGCTGAGTTCCTCCACCTGCCTGTCCAAGAAGGAGAAAGAGGATGGTCAAGGGACAATTTCATCTAGGTCAGCTGAGGGGGCCTGCTGGCTGGGGCGAAGCATGCGATTTCCCTTCCCAGCTCTCCCATTGAGACATCCCTGAACCCCAGAAAGACCTCAACCTGACCAGGACTTGGAACCCTCCCCCAGAACCAGGCTCCCCATCCTCACTTGCAAATCCATCATGTAGCTTTGCAGGACTTCCTCATAGTTTCTGAGCTACTTGCTCTCACCAGAAATAATCACAACTTTTAAACTGTTCTTTATGTCAAATTAATTTTTTTATTTTTACTACCTCATGTTCTGCATGAGGTATGTGTTTTTAAATTTATTTTCACCCTCTGTGATAAAGAGCTTACTAACATTCATACCATAATTATCTTTCAGTTTTAATTGTCTGTTCCTAAAGATTCACTGAAACTAAGAATTCTATTTATGCTTGTATCTTTCAGCAACCATATGTCAGATAATGATGCCCATTACTGCAGAAATCATATATACAGTTCCAACGGTAGATGAAGAAGAAGAAGAAAGCAAGATTTAAAGTCTATATGTTCCTAGCACTGTATCAGAAACTTGGTAATCATAGTGAAATCAAAGAATGATCACAGTCAATTCCATCTCATACCTAGACTGAAATATGAAATTTCAAAAGAAAAGAAAGTTAAGAATTTTGGGCTTATAAAAATTTTCCTAGATTGATAAAATTATTGGCAACTTTATCTCACTAGAAAACATGAACAAAAATACATTTTTATATGTGTAAATATAAATATTTTCATTTCCATCAGTTATGACATGCAAGCAAGTAATAAAGTGAAAGTACATTGCAATAATATATGGAACTTTCTCAGTCTCAAAATATTCCATTGACTATTAATTTTATGAAAACCATAAAGAACGCTTCATGAAACTACATTGTACAGTACTTTTTAGTATTTTAGTTATATTTTGAATAATCAACATATTAAAAGGAATTCTTCAAAAGTATTTATTACCAATACCTTTATTCCATTTGAGTAATACTTTTGAAATTAAGTATTTTAAATAAAGCATTAAAAACAAATTTTATTGACAGATTTCAGCTTTTGAAGAAATCGTACTTCTGTATTTGTAGTAATGTGAAGTATAACTTTCTCCTCACAATGAATCATTTATAACACCAGTGTTTTTTTTCTCTGATACAAACACTGTGATATCTTATAGCTTTACTGTATCCATATATTTCATGCCTCCACAGAGTAGGCTTAAAACATAGAAAAATTGTACTTGTGACAAAATTCCTGGAAAGGGAATGGTAAAATGGGAGAAAATTTCTAACTTTCTGTTGGTCAATGGATTTGTATATCTTTAGATATAGACACACATTTGCACACTGCGAGTTTGCACATGTACATAAAAATTTATGTAATTTCATGTGTGAAATTTGATGAGGTTACCTTATCTGTACTCAATTCGATGGGAAGCAAACAAAGTCTCTGTCAATATTTCAATTAATCCAATAATGTTAACTGCTGATAGCTTCATTCTCCCTGATCCCTGTTGGCAACCTGAAACTTGATGCTCACTCGAATTCATTTCTCAGGGTACCATCCACAAGAGACAGTCACCTTGCTGTGGATTGTGACCTCTGACTCCTCTTTCCTCCTATAGAAGTCCTACCTTTGCATATTTAATAAACTTTTTACATGGTTAAAAGGATAAAAGTTCAGTGAAATGTCAAGCCATGCTGTGAAATATTCAATTGTTTCTATATCTCTAATTGACCTTTCATGTTATAGAGGACAAGAAAAAAAATTCAATATGTTTCTTAATATGCAGTCCAATGCACTCTTTCTTAATAATATTGCAAACCCATCCCTTCAAGGCACTGACATCTAAACATGGCTGGACATCTCAAAATCTCTTCTCATTAATAACCATTATGTTAAGCACTGTTGCCCAGAACTGGAATCTGACTGTGAAATCCCTAGGTAGAAATTGTTATAATGGCTCAAACTATGGGACTGACTATTTTTCACCTGAAAATATCTGATAAGCATATACATATGCTATGTGCATGAACATATTGTACATTAACAATATATCATCACTGACAGTAAATAATAGGTGTCCCAAACTTATGGGCCAAACTGAGCTCAGGTGCTCCCACAAACCAAACTTTTACCTCCAGAGATTTTCTATGTCAAAAAATGGCTATTCCAGCCCAGACGTGGTGGCTCATGGCTGTAATTTCCACACTTTGGGAGGCCGAGGTGGGCTGGTCATTTGTGGTCAGGAGTTCAAGACTAGCCTGGGCAACATGGCAAACATGTCTCTATGAAAAATGCAAAAATTAGCCAGGCCTGGTGGCACTTTCCTGTAGTCCCAGCTACTCAGGAGGCTGAGACAGGAGAACCGCCTGAACCTGGGAGACAGAAGTTGCAGTAAGCCCAGATCGCAACACTGCACTCCAGCCTGCATGACAGAGTGAGAACCTGTCTCATAAAATAAAATAAGGCAACAGAACTTAGGTAAAAATATTGGAGTCAGCTGGGCACAGTGGCTCATGCCTGTATTCCCAGCACATTGTGAGGCCTAGGTGGTCAGATCAACAGAGGTCAGGATTTTGAGACCAGCCTGGCCAACACGGTGAAACCCCATTTCTACTAAAAATATATAAAATTAGCTGGGCATGGTGATGCATGCCTGTAATCCAAGCTACTCAGGTGATTGAGGTAAGATTGTTGTTTGAACCCAGGAGGCTGAGGTTTCAGTAAGACAAGATTGTGCCACTTCACTGCAGCCTGTGCTACAGAGCGACAGTACCCTATGAGAAACAAAGGTGAAAAGAACAAAAAAAAAAATTAGAAAAATAATACCCACTACTAAAATTTGCCACAGAAATGATAAAAACTTCACCAACTTCCACATTCTATATTGGAAGCTCAGGTTATTTGGACCAATCCTCCTGTATTAGTTCATTTTCACGCTGTTCATAAAGACATATCTGAAACTGGGAAGGAAATGAGGTTTAATTGGACTTACAGTTCCACGTGGCTAGGGAGACTTCAGAATCATGGCATAGGAATAAAGGCACTTCTTGCATGGCGGTGGCAAGAGGGAATGAGGAAAAAGCAAAAGCAGAAACCCCTGCTAAACCCATCGATCTTGTGAGTCTTATTCACTATCACAAGAATAGCTTGAGAGACCAGCCCCTATGATTCAGTCACCTCTCCTTGGGTTCCATCCTCAAAACATGAGAATACTGGGACATACAATTGAAGTTGTGATTTGAAGGGAGGCACATGAAACTATATCACCTCCCAAACAATTAAAAATTCTGAATGGAAAGAACATTCATCATGTCAAAAACTGTCAGGCCAGGAAGGAACTCTCAGCCTCATATCTCAAGAAAGACTGTAGTCAAGGCCCAGGGCCTACTTATGAAAAGAGTTTAATAGCCAACTCTCTCCAAATGGATCTGGAATTCCATAGGACTGTATCTTCATGGTAAGTGTGAAACAGAAGTAAACCCATTCCTATTTCCAAGCTCAAAGAACTTTGGCCAAAGTTATCTTGGAGATGAGTAGAATAAGGAGGAAAACAGAAAAAAAATTGTGTGCCTGAGAAGTCATGGCCACAGGCTGGCCATCACACAGATTGTCAAGCCAGTTCCATATTGCTTGGGTATTGCAGAAAAACTCAAAACATCAATTTGTGTGTGAGCTATCCCAAAGTAGCAGGATCTGGCAATAGTAAATTTCATCCTAACCCTCAAGGAATCCACTTTTGGGATTTTACCATTTATTTCATGAATGATAATGGACTTTTTAAAAAATATCTTTTTGTATACTCAGTTTATGTGACATTGGTGTCAAAGTTCTGCTTGCCTCACAGAATAAGTTTAGGATTTTCCCTTTTTTATTTTATAGAGTTCTTCACATATATTGAAATGCTCTGTCTGGGAAAATAAATATGGGCCTAGTGTTTTATCTGTAGGAACAATCCTTTATTTCCCTTAACATTTATGAGACTATTCAGATTACACACTTATTCTTTTATCAATTTTTCTTAGCTATATATTTATAAAAGTCTATTTGATCTAAGTTTTCAACTTTGTAGCATAAAGTGTTAATCATATTTGCTTATTAGCTTGTTAACCTGTACTGTATCTATTGTTATGTATCTTTTTAATTCTTAGTTTTATTTGTGCTTTCTCCCTTTTTTTCTTAACTTGCCTGAGGTTTGCACCTTTTATTATGTTTCTCCAACAATCAAACCTTATCTTTGTATGATTTATTAATTTTCTGTACATCATTATCCCCTCATTTTAGTTTTTCAGAATTGATTCTGTTGTTTCTTTTCTAATTCTTTATTTAAATACATAGTACATTAATTTTGAGGTTGTTGTAAAAACACTTAAGTGTATAAACTCCTATTGCAATATCACTTTTCCTGCTACTCGCAAATTTGATCTGTAATATTTTCAATATCATTAAGTTCTAAGTACTTTTAAATTTCTATTGTGTAATGAATTGCTGAGAAATATTTGTCATTAATTTTGTTGTTCCATTTCAACTTAATTTTATTTTAATTTGTGTTAACTCAATCAAAAATTCTTTACTAATTTTAAAATCTCATATCAAGACTTTTATTCACATCATTTGTTCTATAAATGCTCTCACCTTGAAGAACATTCTCTTGTTGGCTGCTTCCTTGCAACAGTCTTGACTGGTTGCCTTCTAGGCGTGATTCAATTTTCTCATCCTAGGATTTTCCTTCACCACACTTTAAAGAATTTATCTCTCTTGTGTTATGTCTCCTATTTTTGCCATTCCACATCTTTGTCTTTCTTGGTTTACTTTTTCCTTTTGGTAGGAAAAATTCTCTAGTAGCATCTTGAGAAAAGGTTCACAGGGAGACACAATTTTAGAGATGTCATATGTCTGAAAAATGTATGTTTTCTACTTGGACATTTAATTGTAGTCTATGTGGAAATAGAAACATATGTCAGAAATCATTTTCCTTTAGAATTTTCAAAGCATAACTCCATTGCCTTCTGGTTTACAGTGATGGTGTTGAATTTTTTTTTGAGGTGGAGTGTTGTTTTTGTTGCCAGGCTGGAGTTCAATTGTGTGATCTCAGCTTACTGCAACCTCCACCTCCTGGGTTCCAGCAATTCTCCTGCCTCAGCCCCCTGAGTAGCTGAGATTACAGGCAGGTGCCACCACACCTAGCTAATTTTGTATTTTTAGTAGAGATGGGGTTATTCCTTGTTGGTCAGGCTGGTCTCAAACTCCTGACCTCAGGTTATTTGCCCACCTTAGCCTCCCAAAGTGTGCCTTGGCCTCCCAAAGTGCTGGGATTACAGGCATGAGCCACCACTCCTGTCCAGTGTTGCAAATTTTCAAATCATCTGATTCCTCATCCTTTGTACCTGACCTATTTTTACCCCTCTGGAAACATTCAATTTTCTCTTTGTTTTCAGTGTTCTCAAATTTTACATTGATATATCTTGACATGAGTCTATTTTCATCTGTTTTTCTAGGTGCTAGCCTTTTAATCTGCAAATTGAGCATCATTAAGTTCTGAGACTTTTTATTGAATTATTTTGCCAACAATTTATTCCCCTTTGTTTCACTTATTTCTTTTCTTTCTATAACACATACAATTTAAGTATTGGAAGAAATTATCTTGGAGAAGAAAATAGCACCATACTGATTCTGTTTGTGTCAAACTATCACAGTTCAAGATTTTCATATTTTATTATGGAGAAATGTTGTATTTCTTAGTATTCACATTGTTACAAGAAGAAGGGCAATGACTGGTCAGAAATTGAAATGTATGAGTAACAGTTAGAAGATGAAAGCACTGTATCCTCAGAAATTTAGTATATGAAAACCTTTAAATTCCAGGCAAGTTGACTTAAGCTTCAACAGTCTCCCAGCTGAAATGATCTATTTGTGCTAAGTTCTGGGATCAAAGGTGAATAAGACCTTGTTTCTGCCTTCAGTGATAGCTCAGTCCAAAGGGAGACAAATAAAAATGATGTACGAAGAGAGATATGTATGACAGGCATGGCGACTCATGCCTGTAATCCCAACACTTTGGGAGGGCAAGTGGGGGTATCATGCAGTCAGGAGATCCAGGCCATCCTGGCTAACACAGTAAAACCCCATCTCTAGTTAAAATACAAAAAGTTACCCAGGTGTGGTGGCACACGCCTGTAGTCCCAGCTACTTGGGAGGCTGAGGCAGGAGAATCACTTGAGCCTGGGAGGTGGAGGTTGCAGTGAGCCAAGATCAAACCACTGCACTACAGCCTGGGTGACACAGTGAGATTTCATCTCAAAAAAAAAAAGGAGGGTTATGTAAAGTGCCATAAAAACTGAGAAAAGGGACAGAATATCTGTGACAGGTAACTTGTTTTGGGCAGTTGAAAATGAGGAGATCTCAGGGTATCCTTTCTTTGTGTCACATTTGACTAAAGGCAGAAACAAATGAATCTTAATATGTATGGGGTCATAGACACTTATTAAGGATGTAATGAAATTTATGATGATTCTTTCAGTAAAAATTTATATAACAAAACTACACATATATTTTACTTACTAACACAGAATGTGCATTATCAAGAGCTCTGGATAGAGGAGAATGAGTAGGAATGTTTTAGGCAAACAAAAAGGGAAGGGGAGGCCAAACAGAAGAAACAGCAAGTGCACGAATGTGGAGACACAAAAGTTTGTGCATTATTGGAATCAGCTTGACTAAAACATAATTCAGGGTGCCTGAAGCATAAGCTGGAAGATTAACCAGACATGGTGTAAGATGAAAATAGAAGGCCAGGCCCTGTGGCTCACACCTGTAATCCTACACTTTGGGAGGCCCAGGCTGGTGGATGACCTGAGGTCAGAAGTTTGAGATCAGCCTGGCCCAAAAGGAGAAACCCCCTCACTACTAAAAATATAAAAATTAGCCAGCCATGGTGGCAGGTGCCTGCAACCCCAGCTACTCAGGAGGCTGAGGCAGGAGAATTGCTTGAACCTGGGAGGCAGAGGTTGCGGTGAGCTGAGAACACACCATTGCACTCCAGCGTGGGCAACAACAGTGAAACTCAACCTCAAAAAAAAAAATAGAAAAAGAAAATAGAAGATAAGAAGATAGCCTGGGATAAAGCATGAAGTATCACAAATGTCAGTCATGCACTTTGTTTACTCAGAGACAAGACCATGATTGATTAAAATTATGCATTTTATGTCCACCCTCTTCTAACTGTTAACAAATACAAGTGGAACAGTTAGCACCCAATGGAATATTATAAAACATTCTGACTGTAAGGTTTCACTAGCATTCACTGTAGATGTTGAGTGTGGAGTGCTCAAACCTCAAGCTTACAGCTTCGTAAAAGAAAAATCAATGTTAGAAGGGAAGAAAAAGCTCCTCAACAACTACATGAACTGTTTGATTCCTTAATAGCTTACAACAGAATGGCAGTCTTCAATGAGTAGAAATGTTTCTCAATCATAGAAAAAATTTAGATTTACTTGGGGAGTTTACAAAAAGCATACCACATCTGAGATCTATCCCAGACCAATTAAATCAGAATGTATGGTGATCAATGGATCCTGGACAACTGAACTTTTGAAAGCTTTAGATAACAGATAACATTAATATGCATTCAAAATTGAGAATTACTGGGTTAAGAACGATAATCCATGAAAGTAAGTTTCTATCTACTCATCTGCCCTTAATTATATTGCATTGTTCTCATGCAGCATGATACAAGTAAAAATTAATTTGTTTTGTTGAAATGGAGTCTAGCTCTGTCACCAAGGCTAGAGTGCATTGGCATGGTCTCTGCTCACTGAAACCTCTGTCTACCAGGTTCAAGAAATTCTCCTGCCTCAGCCTCCCATATAGCCCAGATTACAGACACCCACTACCCTGCCTAGCTAATTTTTATATTTTCAGTAGAGACAGGGTTTCACTGCATTGACCAGGCTGGTCTGGAACTCCAGACTTCATGATCCACCCATGTTGGCTGGGGTTACAAATGTAAGCTACCGCGCCCAGCCAAAATTAATATTTTAAAATATTTAGAAATATGTGTGGTAGTGTGCAGTGGCTCATGCCTGTAATCTCATCACTTTTCCAGGCTGAGGTGGGTGGATCATTTGAACTGAGGCATTCCAGACCAGTTTGAAACTATGGTGAAACCCTGTCTCTACAAAAAAATACAAACAATTATCCAGGCCTGGTGGTGTGTGCCTGTGGTCCCAGTTATTCTGGAAGCTAAGGCTAGAGAATTGCTGAGGAGGATCACTTGAGCTCAGGAGGCTGAGGCTCCAGTGCGCAGAGATTGAGCTGCTGCCAACCAGTCCAGTCTGGGAAACAAAGGGAGGCTCTGTCATATATATATATATATATATACACACACACATATATATGACATATATACATATATATGACATATATGTGTGTGTATATATGACATATATATGTATATATCTGTGTGTGTATAAAAATACACACATACATACACATACATACGTGTTTGGCCACTTATTTCATCTGCAATGAAAGTCTAAGCAGCATGATTCAGGGTCAATATCAGGACCTGCAGGGAGCCAGCCTATGCTAGAAATATTCAGAGTGAGTTTTTTCACATTTTACAGTCTGATCTGCTGAGTGTACTGCCTGAGGCTATTGTTCTTTTCATATCTTGCGCATCTTTCTGCAGAAAAGGCCACATGCATCAACAGTATTTTTGCTAAGGGTCTTCTAATTAATTGGATGGCCTTTCTGTTGAAAAATTTCTAAGGAGAAGATTTTTCCTCTTTTGGCTCAGGAAACTGCAGGCATCAGTTTCACAACAATACTTAACATTAGCATCAGCAAACAAGTCATATGGAACAACTTCCATATGGAAGTTGTTTAGGGCTTCCTGCAGAACCACACAGCCTCAGAAGCTGCCAGGCGGTGTGTTTCCATGGGAGTCATATGGAACAAGAAGTCCATGTGTTTCCATGGGAGTCATATGGAACAAACAAGTCATATGCAACAACTTCCATGGGAGTCACCTTCCCCTGCAAAAGAAGCCACTCTTCCAGAAAGAAGAGGAGCACACCACACCCATGAAGAGACATCTAGTGTTTCATTGTCCTGCGGCCAGCCCAGGGAGGGATACTAGCATTCCTGTCTGCAGGGCCCATTGAATTTACATCAAATTCGGTTCTCAGCTGAGTAGGAGCTTCACTTCATGAGGGGGCACTCCTCTATCATCTTGAGATCTCATTCTGGGACAGAGTGTGAGCAGCAGTAAGGTCAGTTAGGGGTGTACATGCAATCTGGTGAGGGGTAGATGGGGTCCCACACCTTCACTTGAAAAAAAGTGAAGGCAGATTACACAGAAGTACTTCCAACTGCATGCCCACATTCTCCTAACTGCACAGGCAGTCCACACCATGGCCTGCTGTTCAGGTGGGAGTACTCCAACATGCAGGGAATATTTGGAGTGCAAACTGGGGCCATCATGGCAAACTCCCAATTTGAGGGCTTTCATACTGGGAGCCTAGGTCTGGCTCAATGTCTTCCACACTAAACATTTCCCAGTTCACCAAGGATGACCCTCATGAGAATCCATTGTGTGAGTGTTTCCTTCTAAACATTGTCATGTTTTAATGACTGGGCAGTTGTGGTATTTTAAAATTGTAAATTCCCATTACAGCCACCAACAAGAAAACTCTTGTTCTCCCACTTCTATCAGAGGGCTGCATGATTCCTGTAGGAGGCAGCCATGTCTGGCATTTGCCTGGTAATCTAGACTCTGTTTCATTGTGCCTGCATGTCCTTGCTCATTGGGCTGTTGCTGTATGGGACTGCCTCTCACCACAGATCTTTTAGCCCCCAGGGATTTCAGGGAGCAAAAGAGATTTCAGGTAGGCTGGCTGCACTCCAGGTTGTGGGTTGTGGTCTCATTTTGGAGACTGAGGTTGTTTGCACTTTGCAGGTGGCTTTTGGGTTCTCTGAAAGAAGCCTTTCAGTATTGCTTGGACTTCAGCACAAGTTAGCTGATTCTCTCACTCGAGCCTTTATTCTCTCACTCACTCCTTTGCTTTCATGGAAGGTAGACATTGCCCCTAAACAGCATTACTGCACACCATTTTCAGGCTTACAATTGCCACAAATGGCCTCTGAGACACTGTCTCAACCTCATCTGCACCCATGAGAGGCCAGTTGGAGGTGTGAGAACACTGCCCCACCATGGACTTGCCTTTGTTGTGGTTCCTGCCTTTCCCAGAGAGCACCTGCGAGGCCCAGGATGAAGGCAGGCAATGATATTCAGGGCACAGCCATCTTTTGTTGACACCTGCCTCTGGGGTCACAGGTATGACTCCATGAACCAGAGACCCCTCAACAGCTCACCAGACTATATTCCAATCACCATGGGACCTGATTTCTGCACTCTTTCAGGGATGAAGTCAGAGGTGCAGTTTCCAGTGACCAGGTCACAGTCTTGAAATGCCTCCTCCTTCAAGTGAAACCTGACCAGCAAGATGGCCTGAAGAAGACCTATGGTCAAGAGTTTTAGGGTCTCTCAGTGGATTATCTCAGGCAGCCATTTTCCCAACACCAGGCCAGCTCTGCCTATACCATTTTTCTCTGCTTAGGCATGCTGACAGCTCTGACAGATGGGCTGCTGAGCCTGTGACAAGAATGCAAATGCACTAGTCTCCTGGCACCAGGCCAGAGCTCTGAGCTCTGGCAAGCATCATAATGAATGACAGCATTGCCTAGCAACAAGTCCCTGAGGCTTGGTGAAGAGGGCGATCTCTGTGTATGGGTGTTGGCAGTGAACTTTCTTTCACCTGTCTTCTCTGAGGGATTCATAGGATAGTCCCATTATCCTTGGAGAGAGCATATGTGAGACATCATGAAGAAAGGTCAAACAGAGCCCAGGAATAATCCACAAAATCCCTAAGGATTCAAAAAATCTGCAGGATGCCTCAGGCCTGCCTAGATGTTCAAGGGGTGAATCTTTTGGAAATTTGCCCCACTGTGATTTCTTGGTACAGCCCTCCTGTGTTACTTGGGGTTGTTCTCTCCCAGTTTGGGATTTCTGCAGAACCACCCAGCCTCAGAACCTGCAGGCCTGTAGTTTCTGTGGGAGTGTTGTAAGTTTGGATGTCTGCATGTGTGTGTGGCTTTGTGGTGTGTGTGTATGTGTGTGTGTTAAATGGAGTCTAACTAAATGAATTAGGCTAACGCACTGCAGTGCTTTTTTTTGTCTCTCAACTTTTTGGTAGCCTATTTGTGTGGTTCTGCTTGGGCTGTGGGGCTCTGTGTTCTTTATTTTTCTGTGGATCAAGAACCCTCAGTGATTTGGGAGGCTGGCTGTGACCCACTATGGTCCAAATATCCTGAACCTGCAAAAAAAGCCACTCTTCTCGAAAGAAGAGGAGCACACCTCACCCAAGAAGAAACATCTCCCAGTGTTTCATTGTCCTGTGGCCAACCCAGGGAGAAACACCAGCAGTCCTGAAGGCAGGGCCCCTTGAATTTACCTTGAATTTGGTTCACAGTAGAGCAGGTGCTTCGTGTCATGAGGGGGCACTCCGCCATCGTCTTGGGATTTTATTCTGGGACAAACAGTGTGAGCAGCAGTAAGGTAAGATGGGGTGAGGATATAATCTGGTGAGGTTTGGATGCAGACCTGCACCTTCACCTGCAAAAATAGTAAAGAACTGATGGCACAGAACGTGCTTCCAACAGCATCCCCACATTTGCTTAATTGCACAAGCCGTCCATGTCATGGCTTGGGAGTACTTCTGCGTGCAGGGAACATTTGGAGTGCATACTCGGCCATCCTGGCAAACTCCCAATTTCAGGGCTGTCATACCCAGAACTAAATGGGTGTGGGATGGATTGATGTTTGGTGGGATGTGACCTTCACACTTGTCTCCTCTTCTCCTCACTTACATTTCCCTCATTGGCCTAGGTTTTCCTGGGTCTGTCTAAATGTCTACCACAATAAAGGTTTCCCAGTTCATGGAGGACGACCCTCATTTGAATCCATTGTGTGAGTGTTTCCTTCTAAACACTGTCGTGTTTTAATGACTGGGCAGCTTTGATACTTTTAAAACTGTAAATGTCAGTTACAGCCACCAAAAAGGAAACTCCTATTCTCCCACTTATTTTTCAGAGGGCTGCAAGATTCCTGTATGATGAGAAGCAGGCAGCTATGTCTGATATTGCCTGGTAATCTAGCCTCTGTTTCAATTCATCTTCAAGTCCTTTCTCATTGTGGAGGGGCTCTTTCATTGGGTTGTTGCTGCATTGCACTGCCTCTCACCCCAGATCTTTTGGCTGCCAGGGATTTCAGGGAGCAAAAGGGACTTGGGGTAGGCTGGCTGCACTCCAGGTTGTGGGTTGTTGTCTCATTGTGGGGGCTGAGGTTGTTTGCACTTTGCAGGAGGCTTTTGGGTCCTCTGACAGGAGTCTTTGAACATTGCTTGGATTTCACCATAAGGCAGCTCTTTCTCTCAGTTGAGCCTTGATTTTTCTTTGCTTTCAAGGGGAATACACAGTGCCCCTTAACAGCACTACTGGACACAATTTCAGACTTGGCACCACCACAGACGTTTCCAAGATACTCTCTCAACCTCATCTGCACCTACAAGAAGCCAGTCCGAGGTGTGAGAACACTGCACCACCTTGGACTTGCCTTTGTCATGGTTTCTGCCTTTCCCAGACAGCTCCAGAATGAAGGGTGGCAGTGAGGTCAAGAGTCTGACCATCTTTCACTGGCACCCACCTCTGGGTTCTCAGGCACGTTTCTATCACCCAGAGAACCCTCAAAAACACAGCAGATTATATTCCAGTCCCCATGGGACCTGATTCTTGCACACAGCCCCTTTGGAGAATAAAGTCAGAAGAGGAGTTTCCAGCGACCACCTCACAGTCTCAAAAAGCTTCCTCCTCCAGGAGGCCCCAACCACAGATATGGCCCAAGGGGCCCTGAGGTCGAGAATTTTAGTGCCCTGCAGTGGGTGTTTGCAGGCATCCTTTACTTCAACACCAGGTCGGCTCTGACTGTACATTTTCCTGTGCTTAGGCAGCCTGACAGTTCTGCTAGCCTGGAGGCCTTGCCTGCCTCACGAATGCGCATGCGCTAGACTCAAGGACTCAGGCCTGATTATGAGCCCTTGCTTGTGTCACATCGAATGTCACAGTTGCCTAACTACAAGTCCCTGCGGCTTTGCGGCGAAGGAGACCTCGTGGAGGTGCCTTGGCAGTGGGCTTTTGCGTCTCGTCTGTTGTATTCACCAGATACTCCCATGATCCTAGGGCAGACGTGAGCCAGCCTGAAGAAACCTCAAGCACGACCTCAGGAATAAATTGCAAAATCCTAAGAATCCAAAAGGATCTGAAGGATTCCTCAGGCCTGCCTAGACGTTGTAGGGGTGAGTCTTTTTTAAACTTGCCCCACTGTGATTTCTAGATACAGCCCGCCTGTGTTCCGCGAGTTTGCTGTCTCCCAGATGGGGCTTCCTGCAGAACCACGCATCCTCAGCAGCTGCTGGACTGTGTGTTTCTCTGGGAGACTTGCAAGTGTTAGATGTTTGCCTGTGTGTGTATGTGTGTGTGTGTATGTGCCAGTAAGTGGCGTCTGTTTAAAGGAATGAGGCTAACACACTTAAGCACCTTTTTTTTTTTTTTTTTTAGTCTCCCAACCTAGTGTTGTCCTGTCTCTGTGGCTCTGCTTAGGCTGCGGGGCTTTGTTTTCTTTATTTTTCTGTGGATCGTGAATCCGCAGCAAATTGGGAGGCGTGCCATGACCCGCTGGCGTCCAAATCACCTCTGCCAGCAGAACAACAACAGCAATAACAAAAAAAGCCACTTTTCTAGAAAGAAGAGGAGCACACCACACCATAAAACAGGTCTCCCAGTGTTCCATTGTCCTGCAGCCAACCCAGGGAGAGACACTAGCAGTCTTTTCCACAGCGAAACACACAAAGCCACACACACATGCAGACATCCAAAACTTACAACACTCTGACAGAAAAACACAGCCCGGCATCTCCTGAGGCTGCGTGGTTCTGCAGGAAGCTTCACCTGGGAGACAGCAACCCTGGGGAACTCATGCAGGCTGTATCTAGAAAACACAGTGGGATAATTTTCAAAAAGACTCACCCCTGCAAAGTCTAGGTAGGCCTGAGGCATTCTGCAGATCCTTTTGGACACTTAAGAGATTTCGTAGTGAATTCCTGCGGCTCTGCTTGAGGTTTCCTTAGGCTGGCTCACATCAGCATTCTCCTAGCATCATGAGATTATGCTGAGGGTCCCACAAACAGTACAAGCGAAAGTCTGTGGCCGACCCACCTCCGCAGATGTTTCCTTCTCCGCTAAGCCACAGGGACTTGTCTCTAGGCAATGGTGGTGGCATTCATTGAGACATCAGCCAGAGCTCACAGTTCAGGTCTGGTGCCCTGAGACTAGCGCATGCGCATTCACGAGGCAAGGTTGGGCGCCTGGCTGTCAGAGCTGTCAGCCTGCCTAACCAGAGGAAAATGGTACAGCCAGAGCCGGCCTGTTATGGGAAAAAAGGCTGACTGCAGTAACCCACTGTGGGACACTAAAAGCGTCGACCTCAGAGCTCTGTCGGGTCTTCTCTGTGGTCTGGTCTCGCTGAAGGAGGACACATTTTGAGACTGTGAGGAGGACGCTGGAAACTGCTTTTCTCACTCCATGGCTGAAAGAGGCTGTGTGTAAGAATCAAGTCCCATGGGAATTGGAATATAGTCTGGTGAGTTTCCGGGGGTCTTCGGGTGATGGAATCATACCTGAGACCCCAGAGGAGGGTGTCTGTGAAAGATGGCCAGGCCCTTGATGTGACTGCCTCCCTTCATCCTGGCCTCACAGGGGCTCTTGAGAAAAGGCTGGAACCATGACAAAAGGAGGTCCAAGTTGGAGAAGTGTTTTCACACCTCGAACTGGCCTCTCACGGGTGCAAATGAGGTTGAGACAGTGTCTCAGCGCCCATTTGTGGCGAATGCAAGCCTGGAATGGTGTCCAGTAGCACTGTTGAAGGGCAATGTGGACTCCCCAGTGAAAGCAAAGAAAAATCAAAGCTCGCCTGAGAGAACGAGCTGACTAGTGCCAGAGACACAGCAATGTTAAAAGATTTCTATCAGAAGACCCAAAAGCCCCTGGCAAAGTGCAAACAAACTTGGCCCCCAAAATGAGACCACCACCCAAAACCTGGAGTGTAGCCAGCCTACCTAAAGTCCGTTTTGCTCCCTGAAATTACTGGCAACCAAAAGATGTGTGGTGATAGGCAGTCCCACTCAGGAAGAGTACAATGAAAGATCCACTCAGCAATGAGAAGACCATGCAGATGAAACGAAGCAGAGGCTACATTACCAGGCAAAAGCCAAACACGGCTGCCTGCTTCTCATCCTACAGGAATCATGCAGCCTTCTGAAAGAAGTGAAAGAACAAGAGTTTCCTTGTTGGCAGCTGTAAAGGCAATTTACAGGTTTAAATTATCAATGCTGCCCAGTCATTAAAACCTGACAGGGTTTAGAAGAAAACACTCACGCAATGGATTCCCATGAGGGTGGTTCTTGAGAATTGAGAAAGGTTTAGTGTGGAAGTCACTGGGCAGAGACCCAGGAAACCCTAGGCCGATAAGCAACATGGAAGTCAAGAAAAGAAGAGGCCAGTTTGGAGGCCATAGCCCTCCCAGCAGTAACCCATCCCATTTCCATTTGGCTATGGGTATGAAAAACATAAATCCAGACTTTGCCAGGATGGGCCCAATTTGCACTCCAAATATTCCCTGCATGTTGGATTACTTCCACCTGAACACCAGGTCATGGTTGGACTGCTTGTGCAATTAACAGAATAGGGGGATGGGAATGGAAGCACCTTCTGTGTCATCTGTCTTCATATATTTTTTGCAGTTGAAGTTGCAGGACCCCATCCACTCCTCACCAGATTGTATCCTCATCCCTATCTGACCTTATTTCTGCTCACACTCTATGTTCCAGGATGAAATCCCAAGATGATGAAGGAGTGCCCCTTCAACCTGAAGCACTTGCTCAGCTAGGAACCGAATTCAAGGTAAATTCAAGAGGTCCTGCAGACAGGACTGCTAGTGTCTCTTCCTGGGTTGACCGCAGGACAGTGAAACACTGGGAGACATCTGTTTTTTGGTGTGTTGGTGTGATGTGTTTCTCTTCTTTCTAGAAGAGTGTTTTTTTTTATTTTTTTCCAGAGGAAGGTGATTTAGACACTGCGTATTCATGATCCACAGAAAAATAGAAAACATGGAGCCCCACAGCCCAAGCAGAGCCACACAGACAAGCAACCAAAAGAAAAGGTGAGGGACTCAAATAAAGAAGGATTGAAGTGTGTTAGCCACATTCTTTTAAGCAGACTCCATTTGCAGGCACACACACACAAACACACAATGCCACACACACACACAGAAATCCAACACTCAAAACACTCCCAAAGGAACACACAACCTGGCAGCTTCTGAGGCTGTATGTTTCTGCAGGAAGCCCCACCTGGAAAAGAGCAACCCCGGGGAACACAGGAGGGCTTTACCTAAAAATATCAGAGGGGCAAGTTTCAAAAAGACTCACCCCTAAAACATCTAGGCAGATCTGAGGAATCCTGCAGATGCTTTTGGATCCTTAGGGAGTTTGCAGTTTATTCCTAGGGCTCTGCTTGACATTTCTTCAGGCTCCCTCACATCTGCCATCTCCTAGGATCATGAGATTATTCTGTGGATCCCACATAGAAGACAGGCAAAGAGTGCACCGCCAATGCACCTCCACAGAGGTCTCCTCTGGAGCTCAAAATCAGGAATGGTTCCCTGAGCTTAGCTCATGAACATTCATAAGGCAGGCTCTGGCACCCAGATGTCAGAGCTCTCAGCCTGACTAAGCAGAGGAAAATGCTACAGGCAGAGCCGCCCTGGTATCAAGAAAAACGATGCCTGTGAAAACCCACTGTGAGACTCTAAAAGTCTCAACCTCAGGGCCCCTTTGGGCCATCTCCATGGTTGGTTCCCACTGGAGGAGGAGGCATTTCAGGACTGTGAGGTTGTTACTGGAAACTGCTCTTCAGACTCTATTCCTCAAAGAGGCTGTGTGCAAGAATCTGGTCCCATGGAGATTGGAATAGAATCTGTTGTGTTGTTGGGGTTCTTTGGGTGAAAGAATTATACCTGAAACCCCAGAGATGGGCATCAGTGAAAGATGCCCGAGCTTGACCTCATGGCCTCCCTTCATTCTGGGCCTCACAGGGGCCCTCTGGAAAAGTCAGGAACCATGACAGAGGAAAGCCCAAGGTGGAGCAGTTGTCTCACACCTCAGACTGGTCTCTCCTTGGTGCAGATGAGGTTGACACAGTGTCTCAGAGGCCATTTGTGGTAATAGTAAGCATGAAAATTGTGTCCAGCAGTGCTGTTAACAGGCATTGTGGACTTTCCCTGAAAGCAAGAAAAAAATAAGGCTTGCCTGAGAAAATGAGCTGCCTTGTGCTGGAGTCCAATCGATGTTCAGTGATTTCTGTCAGGGTACCCAAAAGCCTACTGCAAAGTGCCAGCAACTTCAGCCCCCAAAACGTGACCATAGACCAAAACCTGGAGCACAGTAAGCCTACTCAAAGTCCCTTTCGCTCTCTGAAACCCCAAGAAGCTATACAATCTGTAGTGAGAGGCAGTCCCTTCCAGCAACAGCTCAATGAATGAGCCCCTCCACAGTGAGAGAGAGCCATGCAGATTTAATGAAACCGAGCCTAGATTGCCAGGTAAAACGTACACACAGCTGTCTTCTTCTCCTCCTACAGGAATCATGCAGGCCTCTGATAGAAGTGGGAGAATAAGAGTTTCCTTGTTGGTGGCTGAAATGGAAATTTATGGTTTTAAAAGTATCAAAACTGCCCAGTCATTAAAACGTGACAGTGTTTGGAAGAAAACACTCATGCAGTGGATTCCACTGAGGGTCATTCTCCAGGAACAGGCAAACGTTTAGTGTGGAAGTCATTTAGCCAGACCCAGGAAACCCTAGGGTGACCAGGAGCATGGAAGTCAGGAAAAGAACATGCAAGTATGGAGGCCACATCCCACCCAGCATCAAACCATTCCACTCCATTTGGCTGTAGGTATGAAAGCCCTTAAATCGGGAGTTTGCCAGGATGGCCTCAATTTGCACTCCACATGTTCCTTAAACATAGGAGTACTGCCACCTGAACTCCGGGACATGGTGTAGACTGCTTGTGAAATTAAGGGAATGTGGGCACAGAATTGGAAGCACCTTCTGTCATCTGTCTTCATCTTTTTGCAGGTGAAGTTGCAGGACCCCTTCCCCTTGTCTTCAGATTATATCCTCACCTTTATCTGATGTTATTTCTGCTCATATTCTGTGTCCCAGGATGAAATCCCAAAATGAGGGAGGAGTGTCCCCTCACAATGGTGTAGCACCTGCTCAGCTGGGAATTGAATTTGAGGTAAATATAGGGGCCCTGAGGACTGGACTGCTAGTGTCTCTCCCTGGGTTGGCTGCAGGAAAATGAAACACTTGGAAATGTCTGTTTTTTTGGTATGGTGTGCTCCTCTTCTTTCTAGAAGAGTGGCTTTTATTGCACAGGGAGATACCTTGGTCCCCAGCAGGCTTGGTCCGCCTCCAAAGTCACTGAGGATTCATTATTCACAGAAAGATAAATAACACAGAGCCCCACAGCCCAAAAGAGTCATACAGACAGGCCACCAAAAGGTTAGTAGACTCAAAAAAAAAAAAAAAGAACCGCTGAAGTGCTTTAGCCACATTCCTTTAAGCAGACTCCACTTAATGTCACACACACACACAAACACACAATAAAACACACGCAGGCAGACATCCAACACTTGCAACACCCCCAAAAAAACACACAGACTGTCAACTCCTCAGGCTGTGGGATTATGCAGGAAGACCCATCTGAGACAGAGCAACTCCAAGGAAAATAAATGGGCTGTACCTAAAAATCACAGTAAGACAAGTTCCAAAAAGGTTCACCCTTCCAACATCTAGACATCATGCAGATGCTTTTTGATCCTTAGGGATTTGGCAGGAGCTCTTCTTGATGTTTCTTCAGGCTGGCTCACGTCCTCCCTATCCTAGGATTATGGGACTATCCTGTGGATCTCACAGAGTAGACAGGTGAGAGACCACAGCCGACGAACCTCCATGGAGGTCTCCTCCTTGGGAGTCTCTTCCACAAAGCCGCGGGGACTTGTCGCTAGGCAACGGTGACATTCGCTGTGACTCTAGACAGAGTTCACACTCAGGACTGGTGCCCTGAGAGTAGCTCATGTGGATTCCTGAGACATGCTTATGTGTACTGCTGTAACAGCGTTCAGCCTGCCTAAGCAGAGGAAAATGGTACAGTCGGAGCTGGCCTGCTATCAAGAAAAAGGCTGCCTGTGAAGACCCATGGCGGGACAATAAAAGCCTCAACCTCAGGACTCATTTGGACCATCTCTGTCTTCGCGTCCTGATGGAGGATGAGGTGTTTCAAGACTGTGAGGTGGTCACTGAAAACTGCCGTTTGAAATCCATTCCCAAAAGAGAATGTGTGTCTTCAAGACTCGGGTCCCATGGTGATTGGCATATAGTCTGTCTGGTGTGTTGTTGATGGTTCTTTGGGTCATAGCATCATACCTGAGACTCCAGAGGCATTTTTTAGTAAAGATGTCTGGGCTCTTGACCTCACTACCTCCATCATCCTATGCCTAGCAGGGGCTCTCTGAGAAATGCAGGAACCATGAAAAAGGCAAGTCAAAGTTTGAACCATATTCTCACACCTTGGACTGACCTCTTATGGGTGAAGATGAGGTAGAGACCATGTCTCAGAGGTCATCTTTGATGATGGCAAGCCTGAAAAGGATATCCAGTAGAGCTGTTGAAGGACACTGTGGATTGCCCATAAAAGCAAAGAAAAATCGATGCTCACCTGACAGAATGAGCTGCACTGAGCTGGAGTTTAAGCAATGTTCAATGCTTCCTGTCAGAGAACCCAAAAGCCTCCCAAATTGCAAACAACTTCAGCCCCCACAATGAGACAACAACTCGAAACTTGGAGCACAGCCACACTCCTCAAAGTCCCTTTTGCTCTTTGAAATCCCGGGAAGCAAAATAATCTTTGGTGAGAGGCAGTCCCATCCAGCTACAGCCCAGTGAAAGAATACCTGCTCAGTAAGATGACTATGCAGATGAAAAAAATCAGAGGCTAGACTACCAGGCAAAAGCCAGACAGGGCTGACTTCTTCTCACCCTACAGGAATCATGCAGAATGCCAACAGAAGTGAAAAATACAAGAGTTTCCTTGTTGGCGGCTATAAGGGAATTTACCGTTTTAGAAGTATCAAAGCTGCCCAGTCATTAAATTGTGAAAGGGTTTAGAAGGAAACACTCATGCAATGGATTCCCATTAGGGTCATTCTCTGTGAACTGAGAAACATGTTTTGTAGAAGTCATTGAGCCAGACACAGGAAACCCTACACTGACAAGAAACATGGAAGTCAGAGAAAGAAGGGGCAAGTGTGGAGGCCACTTCCCACCTACCATCAATCCATTTCATTCCCATTTTGCTCCCAGTATGAAAGCCTGCAAATTGAGAGTTTGCCAGGATGACCCCAGTTTGCACCCCAAATATTTCTTGCACATTGGAGTACTTTCACCTGAACACCGGGCCATGGTGTGGACTGCTTGTGCAATTAAGGGAATGTTGGGATGGAGTTGGAAGTACCTTCTGTGTCATCTGTCTTCATTTTTTTGCAGGTGAAGTTGTGGGATCTCATCCAATTCCCACCAGATTTTATCCTCACTCTTGTCTGACCTTATTGTTGCTCACACTCTATGTCCAAAAATGAAAACCCAAGACGATGGAGTATTGCCCCCTTATGATGTGAAGCAACTGCGTGGCTGGGACCTGAATTTGAGGTAAATTCAAGGGCCCTGTGGACAGGACTGCTAGTGTATCTTCCTGCATTGGCTGCAGGACAATGAAACACTCAGAGATGACTGTTTTTTCATGTGGTGTGCTCCCCTTTTTTCTAAGAGTGGCTTTCTTTTGGAGTGAGAGGTGAGTTTGACACTGGTGGGTCTCAGGCTGCCTCCCAATTCACTGGGGATTTATGATCCACAGAAAACTAAAGAACATGGAGCCCCACAGCCCAAGCAGTGCTGTACAGACAAGCCACCAAAAAGCTGGGAAACTCAAAAAAAAGAAGTGCTAAAATGTGTTAGCCATATTCCTTTAAGAATACTCCACTTATATTCTAACACGCACACACACAGACACACACACACACAGACATCCAACACTCTCAATACTTTCACAGAAACACACAGGCTGGCAGCTCCTGAGGCTGTGTGGTTCTGCAGGAAGCCCCATCTGGCAGAGAGCAACCTCGGGGAACACAGCCACTATACCTGGATATCACAGTAGAGCAATTTCAAAAAGACTCAACCCTACAAAGTCTAAACAGGTTTGAAGAATTCTGCAGATTGTTTTGTATTCTCAGGGATTTCACAGTTTATTCCTGGGGCTCTGTTTGATGTTACTTCTGGCTGCCTCATGCCTGCCCTTTCCTGGGATCATGGGACTATCCCATCGATCCAACAGAGAAGACAGTCAAGAGTCCACTGCTGATGCACCTCCACAGAGGTCTCTTTATCTGCCAAGCTTCAGGGACTTGTCACTAGGCAAAGGTGGCATTCATTGTGAAGCTAGCCAGAGCTCACAATCAGGCCTGGTGCCCTGAGACTAGTGCATGCACATTAATGAGGCAGGTTTTAGCGCTGGCTCTCAGACCCGTCAGCCTGCCTAAGCAGAGGAAAATGGCAGAGGCAGAGTCAGTCTGGTATCAGGAAATAAGCTGCCTGTGAAACACATTGCAGGACCCTAAAAGTCTCAACTTTGGGGGTTATTCAAGCCATCTTCATGATTGTGTTCCACTGGAGGAGGAGGCATTTCAAGACCATGAGGTGGTCGTGGAAACTGCTCTTCTGAGTCAATTCCCGAAGGAGGCTGTGTTAAAGAATTGAGTCCCATAACGATTGATATATAGTCTGGTGTGTTCTAGAGGGTACTTTTGGGTGATAGCATCATACCTGAGACCCCACAGGTGGGTGTCAGCAAAAGATGACCAGGCTCTTGACCTCTCTGCCTCCCTTCATCTGGGGCATCGCATAGGCTCTCTGGGAAAGGCAGGAAGCCAGACAAGGCAAGTATAAGATGAACACTGTTCTCACACCTTGAACTTGCCCCTCATGGGTTCACATGAGGTTGTGACACCATCTCAGAGGCTGCCTGTGGTGACAGCAAGCCTGAAAAGGATGTCCAGTAGTGCTGTTGAGGAGCACTGTGAATTCTCCATGAAAGCAAAGAAAAATCAAGGCTCACCTGAAAGAATGAGTGGCCTTGTGCTGGAGTCCAAGCAATGTTCATGATTCCTGTCAGAAGACCCCAAAGACTCATGCAAAGTGCAAACAACCTCAGCTCCCACAACAATACAACAATCCATAATCTGGAGTGCAGCCAGATGACCCAAAGTCCCTTCTGCTCTCTGAAATCTCTGGCAGCTAAATAATTGGTGGGAAGAGGCATTCCTATCCAGCAACAGAACAATGCAAGAGCCCCTCCACTATGAGAAGGCCACGCAGATGAAATGAAACAGAGGCTAGTTTACCAGGCAAAAGCCAGACACAGCTGCAAGCTTCTCATCCTACAGGAATCATGCAGCACTCTGACAGAAGTGGGAGAATAGGTGTTTCCTTGTTTGCTGCTGTAACAGGAATTAACGGTTTTTAAAGTATCAGAGCAGCCCCGTCAATAAAAAGTGAGAATTTTTAGAAGAAAACGTTCATGCTATGGATTCCCATGAGGGTCATTCTCATGAACTGAGAAACATTTAATGTGGAAGTCGTTGAGCCAGGCACAGGAAACCCTAGGCTGGAGAGAAACATGGAAGTCAGAAAAAGAAGAGGCAAGTGTAGAGGCCACATCCTACCCAGCACCAATCCATTCCACTCCCATTTGGCTCTGGGTATGAAAGTACTCACATTGGGAGTTTGCCAGAATGGCCCCAATTTGCCCTCCAAATATTCTTTGCACATTGAAATACTCCCACCTGAATTCTGGGCCATGGTGTGGACTGCTTTTGAAATTAAGCGGATGTTGGGATGGAGTTAGAAGCACATTTTGTGTCATCTGTCTTTATTATTATTATTATTTTTGCAGGTGAAGTTGCTGGAACCCATTCTCCATTCAGTAGATTGTATCCTCACCACATGTGACCTAATTGCTGCTCACACTCTATGTTCCAGGATAAAATCCCAAGAAGATGGAGAAGTGTCCCCCAATGATGTGAAGCATGTGCGCAGCTGGGAACCAAATTCGAGGTTAATCCAAGTGGCCTTGCAGACAGATCTGCTAGTGTCTCTCCCTGCGTTGTCCTCAAGATGATGGAAACACTGTTAGATGCCTGGTTTTTGGTGTGGTGTGCTCCTCTTCTAGAAGAGTAGTTTCTTCTGCAGGGGGAGGTGATTTTGGACGCTGGCGGGTCTTGGCCCACCTCCAAATTCACTGGGGATTCACAATCCACAGAAAAATAACACGGAGCCATGCAGCCCAAGCATAGCCACACAGAGAGGCCACCAAAAGGTAGTGAGTCTAAAAACAAGAAGCACTGAAGTGTGTTAGCCCCATTCCTTTAAGCAGACCCCACTTACAGGCACACACGCACACAAAATGCCACACACACTCGACGTCAAACACTCGCAACACACCCACGGAAACACACAGCATGGCAGATCCTGAGCTTGCATGGTTCCGCAGGAGGCCCCACCTGAGAGACAGCAACCCCAGGGAACACAGGCAGCCTGTACCTAGAAATCACATTGGCATAAGTTTCAAAACACATACAACCTCTAGGCTGGCCTGAGGAATTCTGCAGATCCTTTTGGATGCTTAGGGATTTTGCAGTTTATTTGTGGGATTGTGGTTGATGTTTCTTCAGGCTGACTCCCATAAGCCCTCTGATCATGGTTGAGGTTTCTTCAGGCATCCCACAGAAAAGACAGGGGAGAGTCCACCGCCAATGCACCTCCGAGCAGGTCTCTTTCTCTGCCAAGCTGCATGAACTTGTTGCTAGGCAACGGTGACATTGTGAGGCTAGGCAGAACTCACCATCATGCCTGGTGCCCTGAAACTAGCACATGCACATTCTTGGGGCAGGTTCAAGCACCCAGCTGTCAGCGATGTCAGCCTGCCTAGGCAGAGGAAAATGCACAGGCAAAGCTGGCCTCATATCGGGAAAATGGCTACCTGTGAAAACCCACTGTGAGACCCTAAACATCTCGACCTTAGGGCCCCATGGGCAGCCTCCATGGTCTCATCCCGCTGAAGGAGTACACATTTCATTACTCTTAGGTAGTGGCTGGAAACTGCTCTTCTGACTCTATTCCTGAAAGAGAATGTGTGTGCAAGGACCAGATCCTATGGGGATCAGGATATAGTCTGTTGTGTTGTTCAGTGTTCTTTGGATAATAGAATTATATCTAAGACACCAGAGGCAGGTGTCAGCAAAAGATGGCCAGGCCCTTAATCTCACTGCCTCCCTTCATTCTGGGCCTCACAGGGGCTCTCTCAGATAAGCAAGAACCACAAGAAAGGTCTCCAACCACATGTTGGAGACATGTTCTCACACTTTGAACTGGCCTCTCATGGGTGCAGATGAGGTTGAGACAGTGTCTTAGAGGCCATCTGTGGCAATTGCCACCCTGGAAAGGGTATCCAGTAGTGTTGCAAGAGCACTGTGGATTCCT
This sequence comes from Homo sapiens, assembly GCF_000001405.40. NCBI lineage: Eukaryota > Metazoa > Chordata > Mammalia > Primates > Hominidae > Homo > Homo sapiens. The sequence goes on from NC_000024.10 coordinate 9,273,675, forward strand.
TATACTCAGAGAGAAAAAATCACTTGAGAGAATTGTTGGAAAACCAGCCCCACACTGCCCAGCAGGTACCCCGAGTCCAGCGAAGACAAAGGAATTAGAAAGAGACAGAATGAGAGTTTAAAAGGCAGGTCCAGGGGACCAGAGAATTGGAGTCTTGTTCATGGCCTGGAGCTCTCAGCCTCCACCCAATTTATTGGCTTACAAGCTCTTTGTTCATAGGCAGATAGGAGGAGTAGAAGGGGATGAGGGAAAGGATTAATCAGTGAAGGAGAACTCATGAGTCATTCAATAAGATGTATAGCGAAGTGGCGGTTTCTGTGAATTTCCTTGAGCAAAGGAGTGTGTCTAAACTACTTAATGTATTTAACTTATCAGGACTGAAATGGGTGGGAGTAGGTTTCAGGAGAATCCAGGACATTTGATTATACTCCACTGCTTCAAGGGAGTGTTATTTCCCTGTGAAAGCTGTGGCATGCCACCGAGCTGTTATGCTCTCCAGGCATAAGGACATGAAGGCAATAAGGAGATTTTCTCCTCAGACGCCATCCATGGCTCCCCATGGGAGTCTCACATGGGGGAGACCAACTCATCTGGCATCCCAGAAACTCTCTTTCCCATATGTCCCACTTTTTTGTCTCCATTTTTTTTAATTAATAACCACCATTGCTATCATAGCTCATTCACGGTGTCTGTCTTCTCTCCCAAGGTGCTGTCTGCAACTGTAGACTAAAAAAAAAAAAAGCATAAACAGACACAAACCAAAATAATATTTCAGTTGATGATCCACCTATGGTTTTAATTCACTTTAAAGGATTATTGTTAAAAAGGCCATCAGTGGCTCCAGCAAGAATATCATCTCCAAGCAACAAGCTAGGATGAGCCTGAGATGCTGCAAAAAGTTGTTTTTTCCGTTTAGCAGGATCTAATGTTAAATTATCTTCTCCTGGTAGGTGATGTCTAATCATCTCCCAATGGTGTTCAGTGGTATTATAAGAGCTAGGAGGAAACAAAAATCAGAAGTATTCCAATCACTTTGCATTTGAATTCTCTGCTCCAAGCTCATAATCTGACCACCCATTCAAATTACTGTTTGATGAAGATCATTAATTTGATTTGCCAATTTTTGATCTATTTGGCTTTGGGAATTCCAAAGCTTGGAAAAAATTTTCCTGTCAACTATCCACAGAGCTCACAGTTTGAATAGAATAATGCAAAGTTATACCAACAGCAGCAGCTATAGCTGTGACCGCTATAAGGCCCATGATGACAGCTATTAAGGTAAATATGAATCTCTTTGATCTATTAAGTATTTCTTTTAGTACTGCAGTGATAATATATATGGAGGAAGAGGTGTCCCAAGGTCTATTGAGGGAAACAGGTATCCAAACTCCTTCTCAGGCCCTAACCAGTAAAATGCTATTATCTTTATTAAAGGTAGAATTAATGCAGGTAAAAATATGACAGCTGAGGCATGATATGGTTTGAGAGTCAAGTAGGATATTAACTTTTCCTACTGCTAACATAAAAGGAGGTTTAACACAACTCTGCAATGGAACTGTCTTATTAGAGATCATGGCTACAACAAATCAAAGTTTTTCACTATGAGTCCGTGTTTTATATTCTCCTTTCCAAATCCCAACTGGGGTTTGAGCCAACATTAATTTCCACAATTCTGGATGTTCTGGACTTATAATTGGATCAATCATTTTTGGCTTTGGAGGAGCCATACCATTCTCCTCCCACTTAATAGGGCAATTTGTTTCAATTCTTCTATATAATTTTAGTGCATTATCTGGGAAGTCGTTTGCAAAGGAGCCTCTCCAAAATCTTTGCTGTGTCTAGTACAATTTACAGCAAAGTGACCCCTAGGGGCCCAATCAGTGATGATTCCAATGGAATTATTTTGCAATACTGCAGTGCTGTTTACAATACAAACTTCCCAGGTTAGCACCTCTAGATTTTCAGACCATTTAGTGGCCTGCCTGGTGCAGGACTTCTTATTAGGTTTAAATTTATTAATCTGATGATATGTCATAACATAGCCATGCTCAAGGTATTTAATAGTGTCCAAAGACTGAAATGTTCTTCCACTGATTACATGAATAGAGGTCTTTCATCCATTATGTTCAGGGACATAAACCATCCAATTTAAACATCCTGCTGCTGGACCCAGGCAGATGGGAGGAAAGTGATAACCACTGGAAACTTTCATTAATATTCCTTCATCTTCTGGATGAGTAGGACCTTGGTTATCTATTGGTCCAGGCATCCAGACACTATCATTAACATAACCTCCACTGGGGCATCTAAACTTGTAACAGGCCTAATCAGTGGTGGGAATGCAATGTAGGTCCAATAAGTGTAATTTTGATCTGCCCCTCTGCAGGGAGACTCACCACCAAGGAGATTACCACCATCATAGCTACCATTAGATTACTGGTGGTCAGCAGCTTGTGCTGAGACCACAGGTTCTTTTCTTCAATGCGAGCTAGTCTCTTCATCTGCCCCCAGGTCGGTGGAGTTGCTTGGTAAGTTTCACTGGTTTCCATCTGCTCAACAGAGATGTTCATCTGAACCATCTGATGAACTGGGGGTGTAGGGACTTTCTGAGGTCTTTTCCTCTTCCTTGAATTCTGGCTCCTGGCACAGCTTAAGATGTCTTGTGGGTACCCAGACAAGAAGTTGATTCTCTCCTGGTGAGATATAAGCAAATCCTCAATCCCAACAAGACCCACTGGGGCCTTTTGTTTGGGTCAGTTTTTGGGCCGTTGATAAAAGCTATGATGACACGTCTGCTCCTGTATCGACCAGAGCCTCAAATTGTTTTCCTTGAATAGTGACCTACAAATAGGACTATTGTCAGAGACTTGATTTACCCAATAGGGAGCCTTGCCTGCTGAATTTGTGCTTCCATATCCTTTTTTTCTGAGATTTCTCCTAACTTAACATATGGTAAAAGCAACAGTTGAGCTATTCTGTCACCTGTTAGCACTCCAGGGAACAGTGGAGGAGATAACAATTTGAATTTCTCCCTGGCAATCAGAGCCCACTACTCCAGTATGTACTTGAATTCCCTTTAATTTTAAGCTGGACCTTCCCAGTATAAGTCCCACCATGTCCTTTGGCAATGGGCCGTAAATTCCCATTGGGATCTTCCTAGGAGGCTCCCCAGGAAGGAGGGATAGAGCTTTTGTGCAGCATAAATCTACTGCCCCACTTTTATCTGTGGAGGGGGACAATTGCTCTGCATTTGTACAGGGATACACTGGGCTGGGAATACTCTGTTTGGAGTCAGGGATGACCCACCCTGAATTGGGAATGCCCTGTTTTGAGTTTTGCCTTTTTTGGCTCTTTGTACACTCTCTTTTTGCATGTCCTATCTTTCCCCAAGTATATCAAGATCCAGAGAACACTCATGTGTTTTTTATTACCCTTTGTCCAGCCATTGCCTGAGAAAGGAGGCTGGCCTTATATAAGGGCTCCTCAATGCCATCACAGGCTGTAATATATTCACTTACAGTTTTTTCCTCATTTAGATCTGCCTTTACCTTAATAGATCTAATTTCTGCCTGACATTCTGTATTCACAGTTTCATAAGCAAGCAGCTGAATGATCACTTTCCTGGCACAAGAATTTGAAATAGTCTTTTGAGCAGCTTCTTGCAAATGGGGTGATAAAATCTGGATAAATCTCCCTTGGATCCTGTCAAACTGAGTTAAAAGAAGGATAAATAGTAACAGGGTCATGAATTTTTTTCCTGGTATCTTCAGCATATAGTTCTGAGCTGATCAACAGCCTCATCACCCATTACCATCTGTTGATTTACAGTACCCAATGCCTGTCCAATTCCAAGCAATTGATCAGATGTGATATTAATAAGAGGTTGGGCCTGAGCATTTCTGCCTGCCTGACTTGTTGCTTCATCTGTCCACCAGGTTTTAAATTGGAGAAATTGAGATGGGGACAGGGTGGATTGAGCTAATGACTCCCAATCCATAGGTATTAAGGGCCTGTTATAAGCCACAAATTATAATGAGGAATGAACCTCAGAAGAATTTGGCCTATATTGTCCAATTGCTTGCTTAAATTGCTTGTCCAATTTGGCCTATATTGTCCAATTGCTTTTTAATATTTTAAAAGAAAATGGCTCCCAGCAGGCCCGAGCATGTTCTCTGGGCTCCTGAGCTGGAGAAATAATTACCAGAAACTGCCAAGCATCCAAATCCCCCATTTCTTGTGCCTGTCAAATGGATGCCTGAATTGCCCCTGCACCATAATTTGTATTTGGACTGGCTCACAGCATTTTTCTCCCACAATTAACAGGTGGACAAGCCTGGATCATTCCCTCACCGTAATTGGCTGTTGGGCTGTTGAAGCTTCCCTTTACCATAGTCAATGGTAGGCCGTGCAACAATGGGAGTGGCAAGCTGTGTCTCAGTACCTCTTTCCAAAAATTCATAAGGCTGAGGTGGAGGTGGCTGTTCTGCACTTTCCTCTAAAGATGCAGTAGGGGGAACTCTTTCTTTCATAAGTTTTTGGAGGTTAGCATATACACCTTCCCATTTCTCCCCCTTTTTTAAACTAGACTGTGATGGTTCACTGTGCTGATTATCAGACTCCTGATTATTAAACTTTTCTATGTCACCCTGAAACTTCTCCTCCTCCTCCTCAGGGTGGAAGGGCTCCAGTGCTGTTTTAATTGCTGACCACACAGACCAAGTGGAGAAGGGAATATCGCAGCCCTCTTGTTGTGCTCCTTGTAAGTCTGATCTGATCTTGTTCCAGTCTTTTATATTCATGGTTCTATATTCTGAGAACAAAGGAGAATACTTTTCTATGAGATGGAAAAAAGATGTGAGATTTTGGGTACTCATAATTACTCCTTTATGGCTCAATAACTGCTGCACCAGGCTTGAGTAATTATCAAACTTGTTTCCAGCCTGACTCATATTTTCCTGAGGTTGCCCTGGAATTCTCTGAGTGCCCCACTTACCTGTAGAGCATGAAGGGAAAAGGTACTCGGACATCCTTTGTCAGTCATCCTGCACTTTCTACGCTCTGGTTTTCCCTCACTGGATGATTTGTAGAGATATAGGGAGTACTGTGTTGGGCACCAGATGTTGAGGAAACAAGCCCCACACCACTGGGCAGGTACCCCGTGTCCAGCGGAGACAATGGAATTAGAAAGAGGCAGATTGAGAGTTTAAAAAGCAGGTCCAGGGGACCAGAGAATTGGAGGCTTGCTCACGGACCCGAGCTCTCAATCTCCACCCAATTTACTGGTTTACAAGCTCTTTGTTCTTAGGTCAGATGGGAGGGGTAGGAAGGGATGAGGAAAATGATTAATCAGTGAAGCAGAACTCGTGAGTCATTCAATAAGATGTGTAGCAGTGGTGGTTTCTGTGAATTTCCTCTTGCAAAGGCATGTGTCTAAACTATGTAAGATTTTTAACAGCCGGGCACAGTAGCTCACGCCTGTAATCCCAGCACTTTGGGAAGCCCAGGAGGGCAGATCACGAGATCAGGAGATCAAGACCACGGTGAAAACCTGTCTCTGCTAAAAATACAAAAATTAGCCGGGTGCAGTGGTGGGTGCCTGTAGTCCCAGCTACTCGGAATGCAGAGGCAGGAGAATGGTGTGAACATGGGAAGTGGAGCTTGTGGTGAGCCAAGATCACACCACTGCACTCCAGCCTGGGTGACAGAGAGAGACTCCATCTCAAAAACATTATAATAGAAATAATAAAAATAACTTATCAGGACTGAAATGGGTGGGAGTGGGTTTCAGTAGAAGACAAGATGTTTGATTATACACCACTGCTTCAAGGGAGTGTTATTTCCCTGAGCAACCTGTAGCATGCTGCTGAGCTGTTATGCTCTTGAGAATAAAGACATGAAGTCAATAAGGAGACTTTTCTCCTCAGAGGCCACCCATGGCTCCCATGGGTGTCTCACACAGGGGAGAAGAAGTCATCTGGCATCCCAGAAACTCTCTTTCCCACAGAGAATGAGCTATCTTGTTCTGGAGTCCTAGCAATGTTCAATGATTTCTGTCAGAGAACCCAAAAGCCTCCTGCAAAGTGCAAACAACCTCAGCCCCCATTAAGAGACCAAGACCCACAACCTGGGTTGCAGCCAGCCTACCCAAAGTCCCTTGTCCTTCCTGAAATCCCTGGAGGCCAATAAATCTGCAGTGAGAGGTAGCCCAACCCAGCAAATCCCAATGAAAGACGCTTTCCACAGTGAGGAAGGACATGGAGATGGAATGAAACAGAGTCTAGATTACCAGGCAAAAGCCAGAAATGGCTGCCTACTTATCCACCTACAGGAATCATGCAGCCCTCTTGTAAAAGCTGGAGAGCAAGAGTCTCCTTGTTGGTGGCTGTAACAGGAATTTATGGTTTTAAAATTATCACAGATGCCCAGTCATTAAAACATGACACTGTTTAGAAGGAAACACTCATGCAATGGATTCTTTGAGAGTCACCTTCCATGAACAGGGAAACGTTTAGTGAGGAAGACATTGAGCCAGACCCAGGATACCCTAGGCTGATGAGGAACAGGTAAGTCAGAATATAAGAGGCAAGTATGGAGGTTACATCCTATATTGTATCAATCTCTCTCACTCCCATTTGGCTTCTGGTATGAAAGCTCTCATATGGGGGTTTGCCAGGATGGCACCAATTGGCAATCCAAATCTCCAAATGTTCCTTGCACATTGGAGTACTCCCATTGTAGCAGCATAAGCCATGGACAAAACCCTTCAGACACTGGCTTAAAGAAGGAAGTGACTTTATTCATCTGGGAGCATCAGCCAACTGTCTCAAAAACCAAGTTCCCCAGAGAGAGATTCCTGCCCTTTTTAAAGGCTTTCAACTCTAAGAGGGTCCCTGTGAAGGGGTCGTCATTGATTGAGCAAGCATGGGGTATGTGGCTGGGGCTGCATGTATGGGTAATCAGGATAGAAGAGGACAAAACAGTTTCACGATGCTTCCTCATACAGTGTCTGGAACCTATAGATAATACAAGCGGTTAGGCGAGGGGTTGATTTTTAACTGCCAGTCCTGGAGTGCCGTGCATGTTCTGCCTGGCAATTGAATTCATCTCTGCCTTTCTTTAGTTTTTGATTCCTTTTTCTTTTTTTAAGGTATGAGACAATAAGAGAGGTGGTCTCCCTCCTTATTCCCCACTTTGAGAATCTCACTTATTACTGGGAGTTCTCATTCTCATCCTCCCTTCCTAGGTCTTCCTGCAAGACAGATCAATATTGGTTCATGTAATATACTGGTGGTGAAGCATTTTGGTGGACAAAGGCAGTAACAAAGCTTCGCATTATTTGAAGGAGTATGAGTAGCAAGCAGGGGAGAAATAAGCATGTTCCTATTACTATTATTCTTCCTACTATAAGAGTTTTAAATCTTCCTAGCACTGGAAACCATTTTCCAAATATTGATCCAGGATCAAACCAATGTCAATCGATATTTTTCATTCTTTTTCCAGGTAGCCAAAATGATGACAGATGTGCAAGGTGTGTCCTATCTCTAACTATATTTTTGACCACTTGCCCTTGATGATCTATATGCAGACAGCAATTGGTTCAGTTCAATTTTCCACAGACCTCACCTTCAGCTGCTAGCAAGTAGTCTAGGGCTAATCTATTTTGATAGATAGCATTTCTCCTCTGGGTTTCCTGCAAGGCTAAAAGACTCAAAGCTTTGCCAGTTTTATTAGTGATTATTTCTAAGACAGTTTGTAACTGTATGATTTGGTTGAGCATGTAACTGGGGGTTCAGTATCCCCATGAGCTGTCTTGTGCCCAAGTGGCAGGCCCATAGTATTGTATGATTCTTTTAGGGAGCCACTCAATATATTTCAATTCGCCTATAGCTATGCTCCTCTTTTCTCAGGAAGCATAGACTTGGAAGACCAGGATTTCATGTGTTTTCATGGGCAGTAGGAAAAAGGATGGTATAATGGTGCCAATAACAAAACTACCCGCCCATTTTTCAGGTAACATCGTGTAGGCTGTATGCCCAGATATCCAGCATAGTCCAGCATGGGCTGTCCAGTCCCATTGAGACTCTGTGTGGGTCCACATGGTTTGCAACTTTGGAAATTTACTAAACAGATTTTTCTCAGTGTGGTTTGAACCCCACCATATGGCTGTTTTTACTGTGCTGTTATACAGTTTTGCCCAAGGCAGGTGAACCTTCCCACAGGGAGGATGAAGTTGTTTCCTTCTATAGCTATGCAATACTGCCCAACAATTGAGGTTCTTAGGACACAGAAGTTGCCAGTGTTGGTCTTCTGGATTGTAATCATATCAGGAATTGGATCAGTAGGCACTAATTCTCAGGTTTCTTAAGGCCATTGCTCTCCCATAGTGGTTCCCTCACATATATAAAAGGAAGAAATATTGAGGGAATGGACTACAGTTTCTGCTAACTGCAGGAACAAATTCTTTGTCTTCCCTGGGAACTCTGGTGTGGGCACATTTAATTCATCACAGAAAGTCTGAAACACTGGTTTGTAAGAACACATTTTGACCTCTTGTCTGACTGAAATATTTACTCAAGGATCCTGTCCAGCTACATTGATCCCAAGAGTTACATGTTTTCCCTTTTTCCAATGGGGGGACTAGGGGACTGGTGATTATTGGTTCTAAGGTGTTACTGTGGCTGCTTGTGCAAGAGGAATCACCCTTTCCTTTCTGAAGCCATACTGGATATTTTTCATTATTTTTCCAGGTAGCCAAAATGACACAAGACCAGCAATTACAAGCTTTATCATATTGGCCTAACTCGTGGCAAATATACTTATTCTCTGCTGGATAACTTTTTTCTCAGTCCAGAGAGCCACATCCTTATCCTTAATGGTTAATATTAATGGTGACACCAGCATCAGAATTTAAGATTTTTTGTTTGGGGATTCATTTTTCTTCTGTTTTAGCTATTATTTTACTTGTATCACTTAGAAAAGGGAGAGTTCTTAATCTTATTTCAAAGACTGTGTTCATAGGAGATTCAGATGTGTTATAGCATATCCGAGTGAAGTTATACAGGCAATATTCTTTTAAAGTTCCTAGGCATTCATAATATCTATAAACCGAAAGATTGTTTTAACTTGTTTCCCTACCTCAGTAACATGATGATTACACAGGGAACAGTCCTCCATTTTGGGAACATGACAGTGTTTAGAAGGAAACACTCATGCAATGGATTCTTTGAGGATCCTCTTCCATGAACTGGGAAACTTTTCATGTGGAAGACATACACAGTAAGCATTGTATAATCAGTCTTTATTATACAAGTCCAAATTTTAAGAAGAGTAAGTCCCACGATGAGTTTTCTCATGCTTCAACCATGTGTATACCAGTCAGCTTAAAAGTGTGACTGGAGCAGGCCTTGTCATCTTTCTGAGTGTCACTTTGCAGTGGTTGTCTGGCCTTGGTCTTACCTCCCAGGTCTCAGGCACTGCAGGTGTTACACGATGGTGATGGATCCAGGCTGGGATTCCTTCTACCTTCACCAGGTGGGAGTGGTCAAAATGACAGTCTGGTGTCCCTTACACCATGGACGTAGGGGGCTGCATTCCAGTCCTTGATCCATATGGGATCACCTGGGGAGAAGTTGTGAACTGGGGAGAATAAACTAATTGGCCCCCTTCCATTTTCGCAGCCTGAAATTTTTGTGTAATTTTTCCTAGATCTTGTAGCTGTTGCTGTAACTTAACTTCACCTAACTCTCGAAGAGTGCCTGGGAGTCCCCATAATATGGGAGTGGGTCTATGATATAATATTTCATAAGGGGAATATCCTGTTCTTTTAGAAGGAGTACATCTTATCTTAAAGAATACCATACAGAGAGTCTGTAACAATCTCAATCCTGTTTCTGGACACACTTTCCCTCAGCTATTTATAATAGTTTGATTAATTCGTTCCACCTTTCTGGAACTCTAAGGTGAGTAAGTTGCATGTAGTTTCCACGTGATCCCCAATACCTTTGCTGTCTTCTGCACCAAGCCAGTCACAAACGCTGTCCGTTTATCTGAACCGATTCGTAGGGGCAGTCCAAATCTAGGAATAAGATCTCAAAGAAGCACACATGTTACTTCACGAGCTTTTTCAGTTTGTGTCGGATAAGCCTCTACCAGCTTAGAGTATGTACACACAAGAGCTAGTAAATATGTGTTACCTCCACAATTTGGCATCTCTGTGAAGTTCACCTGGAGATCTTCAAAGGGGGCTGCTCCATAAACTTGTATGCTGGGCAGAATTGCTGGACCCTCCCTCACATTTTGTTGTCAGCATAAAATACATCGCTATGCCATGGTTTTGGAAAGGACTGACAAATATGAGACGTAGAAGTACCAGCCTAACAATTTTTTAAGTGACTCCTGAACTAGAGGGGTAGTTTCATGCACAGCCAGTACAACTGTGGCTCCTAGCAGCTGTGGCATGGCTATTCTTCTGTCTGGTAACTGGATCCATCCCTCTTTTGCTGTTTGCTCTCCTTCTGCCTGAAAGAAGTCTTTCTCCTCTTTACAACAAGTAGGTACAAGGTCAGGTGTCTGAGGAAGCATGGGGGTTGAGACCAATGTCTGGTAGGGGTGGAGGCTGCTTTTTGAGCCTCTGAGTCAGCTCTGGAGTTCCCTAAAGCAACCACGGTAGAAGCTTGCTGGTGTCCCCTGAAATGCATGACTGACACATTTTGGGGTTTCCATACTGCTTCTAATAATTACAAGATTTATTGCTGATGATTTATGTCCTTTCCTCCAGAGACTAACAGCCCTTTTTCTTTATATAATGCTCCATGTACTTGGAGGGTTGAGAAAACATACCAAGAGTCAGTGTAAATGTTTTTAGTCTTACCTTCACTGAGTTTTCACACCCAAATTAAAGCAGTGATCTTGGCTTTCTGGGCTGAAGTACCCTATGGCAATAGTTTGGCCTCAGTGACAGCGTCCAGGGTTACCACTCCATATCCTGCATACCTCACTCCTTGTGGGTTGACAAAGCTGCTCCCACCCACATATACCTCCCAGTCCACTGATGCCCAAGGCTGTTCATACACGTCAGGCTTGCTAAAGTAAGCTGAGTTCAACACCTCTACACAGTTATGCTCAATAGGGCTTTCTTATACAGGGAGCAAGGTGGCAAAATTCAGGTTGTTACAAACTTCATTGATTGTGCAGGGATTTTCACAGAGCAAGCTTTGTACTTGCTTAGGCTAGCATTCATTAGCCAATGATATCCTTTGGTATTCAGTAAAGTCACCACAGCATGTGGGGCCTTTATGTTCATGTTTTGCCCAAGAGTTAGTTTATCTGCTTCTTGTGCTATCAGGACAGTTGCTGCTAAGACCCTCAAACAAGAGGGCCAACCTTTAGAAACCCTGTCTAGTTTTTTAGAGAGGTAGGCCACTGGCCTCAGCCAGGACCCCACATTCTGAGTCAAAACCCCAACTGCCATTTTTTCTCTCACTGACACATATGGTGTAAATGGCTTTGTCAGGTCAGGCAGAACCAGAGCTGGAGCTGACATGAGTTTCTTTTTTAACTCATAAAAGGCTTGCTCTTGTTGGGACCCCCATTCAAAAGCTTCCTGGTCTCCCCCTTTGTAAACCCATACAGAAGCTTGGCTAGTACTGCAAAGTTTGCAATCCACAGTCTGCAGAACCCCCACATCTCCTAAGAATTTTCTCACTTGCCTTCTGGTCTTAGGCTCCAATAGGCTGCAGATGACTTGCTTTCTTTCTGACCCCAAGCTGTGTTCCCCCTGTTGGATAGTCAATCCCAGGTAGCTTACCTGCTGTCTTCAGATTTGAGCTTTCTTCTTGGACACCTTATACCCACACTCCTGCAGCTACTGAAGGAGGGCCTCTGTCCCTCTGGCACACCCAACTGCCATGGGGTGAGCCTGCAGAAGATCATCAATGTGCTGGAACAAAATGCAGCATAGGTCTTTGGTGGGGGACTTTTTGAGGTCTCAAGCCAGCACCTCCAGAAGGTGGTGGGTGACTGCTTGAACCCTTGGAGAAGCAGGATTCAAGTGTACTGAGTGGTGACACCTAACCCCAGATCTTCCCTCCCACTGGAAGGCAAACAGTTTCTGGCTCTCAGGAGATAGTCTGATGCTAAAGAAGGTGTCCTTCAGGTCTAGACAAGTGAACCACCTGTCCTCAGCTGACAATAATCCAATAATGTGTATGGGTTAGGTACTGTTGGATGTAAAGTCACTGTAGTTTGACTGACCAAGCACAAGTCCTGTACTCGCCTGTAGTCCTCAGTCCCTGGCTTAGGAACAGGCAGGAGGGGAGTGTTCCATGGCGACTGACAAGGGACTATAATTCCAAAGGCTCTCAGACATTTGAGATGAACCTCAAGAGCTTGTCTGGGGACTGGGCGCTGTCTTTGCCTGACCGGCTGGACCCCAAAATTAACTTCTATGAGTATGGTGGCTTGGTTGACTGCCAGTCCTAGAGGTTTATCTTCTGCCCACACACTTGGCTACCACTTAGCCAGAGCTGGTCCTATCTCTTTGCCTGACTTACTTAAGAAAAGTCTCCATTCCTCCTCCCAGGGTACCATAAGGGCCATAATGAACAGGGATTCATGTCCCCCTACAGTACAAGTCTGGGGCAAGCAGAAAACTTGTTTCTCTGAGACTCCTGTGGCTCTGAATATATCAATAGTATTTTTGGATAAAGGGGTGACCGGGGTGGTTACTACTGAATGTTCCACACCAGTATTGACAAGAAACTTTGCCCCTGACTGTCATACTGACTGTGGGCTCATAGGGAGCACCTGAGCCCAGTTCCCCTCAGTCCAGTAACTCTTCTGCCAAATTAAACAAGGCCACTTCATCCTTGCTTGAGACCTCTGGCTCAGAGCCATTTTGTTTCTCTTTTAACTGGGGGCACTTGTCTTTCCAATGCCCTATTTCTTTACAGTATGCACACTTGTTATGCTGCAGGTGCGGTTGGTCAAACTGGGTGTTTTTTTCCCAGGGCCTTCCCTTCTTTGGCCCTTTGGGTGAAACCCTCTAATAGCTGTGACTAGGAGGTCAGCCTTTCACCTGGCTTGGTGCTTGCTTTCTTTGCAGCTTTCTCTATGGCCTGCTGCATCTCTATTCACAAACCCTGATTGGCTATTTCCAATAACAGTGATGTGTTTATGCCCTCAAACCTAGCCTGTTTCTGAAGTTTTCTTATAATGTCTCCTGTGCTTTGATGACCAAAAGCCATGTTAATCATGCTTTAATTTTCAGGGCTTTCAAGGTCAAACGGTGTATACTTACAATAGGCCTCAAAGTCTTTCATGAAATTGTGCTGGACTCCCTTCTTTTCCTTGAATGACCTCAGACACTTTGTTAACATTTCTGGCCTTCTGAGCTCCCTTCTTTAACCCTTCCAGGATGCCTTCCCTATATTGCTTTAGCCCTTCTATACCTTTCCCTTCATTTGGGTCGACTTGGGGTTTGTTTCTGGTACTTGGATCCTCACATACTCCTGCGGATTTTGGTAACTGGCCAGAGCATGTCACTCCAGCCACTTGGTTGCTGTCTGAAACTCCCTTCGCCTTTCATCTGTGTTAAGGAGGTACATAAGCAGCTGGCAGCAATTGGCCCAAGTAGGGTTGTGGGTGTGGATAATAGTTTGGAGTAAATCAATTAAAGTTTGAGGCTATTCAGTATAAAATGGGGTATTATTTTTCCAATTTAGGAGTTCAGCAGATGTAATGGGTTGATACATGAAGGCACGCCTTTTCAACATATGCCCATCCTCCTTTACCACACTACACTGCTGCTTCCGCAGGGGAATTTGAATCCCAGCCTTAGGTCATCAGTGAACTGCCAAGGGTGGGGTTTCTCCCACGGCTTCACATCCTCTCTTGTCTACTCTGGTGGCATAGGGGTGGGTGTGTGTCCTGCAGAGGCACAGGTGCTGTGGGCTCAGGAGTAGGGAGTCTCTCTTCTTGATAAGGTTGGGGGCATCGTTGGTGCCATTTCCTGCCATGAGTCTTCTCATATTGGGTCAGACAGAACTTTAGGAGCTGACTTCCTTCAGCGGGTGGAGTTGGATGCTTCCTTGGCTATCTGTCTTTTTGCCACTAGCACTGCTGCTGCTGTCTGTCCTCTTCACCACTGTGCAGGGGGTCTAAAACCAGCTATAACCAAGTGTCTATGTATGGGAACTGGTCTGGGTGCCCTGGCTTACAGATTATCTTGTGCCATTGCTTTAAAACAAGGGACCTATCTAGGCTTCCTTCTGATAGCCAACCCACTTCAAACGCTGGCCAGTCTATCTCACACAAAGTTCTAAGTTTCCCTGGTGTCATAGTAACTCCATAGTTTCCTTTAAATCTCTTCTTGAAATTTTTCAACATATTTCCTAGCAAGTTGGACTTACTTTGTGTCTGATTCATTTTTCTCCCAAGAAAAGACAATACTCACACTGCAAGAAGGAAAGGGTAAAGGTCACACACTCTTATTCAAACTAAATCAAGTAATTCAATCCAAGTCAAAACCTAAACCTAAACCAAAGTGCTGAGAAAGGCATGCCGTGGGTATCAGGCCATGCTTCCACTTGGAGTAGGCAAGTTCCCAAGACCAGCCATACCATGTTCCAGATGTCCAGACTCCAAGTACCAGTTCCTTCCTGGTGTACAGCCACTACATCGATCCTTTGTGGGAGCCTGCTGTGTACTGCTCTAGTGAGGCATTCCACTGGGGCTATTGCCTACCCTGGAGCTCTCTCAGGATCCACATCGCTCAAGCTGGATGGAGTCCTCCTCAAGGATGCTCCACAAGGCAGACCTAAGCCACCTAATGGGCTGCCTCAACCTTATGCTAATCACGTTACTTCCAGTCAAGGAACTGAAAAATGTAGCAGGAGCAGCCATGGACAATACCATTCAGACACCAGCTTAAAGAAGGAAGTGGCTTTATTTGGCTAGGAGCATTAGCAGACTTGTGACTCAAAAACTGAGCTCCCTGAGAGAGAGATCCCTGCAGCTTTTAAAGCTTACAAATCTAGGGGATCCATGTGAAAGTGTCATGATCAATTGAGCAAGCATCGGTATGTGGCTGGGCTGCATGGATCAGTAACCAGGACAGAATAGAACAGAACAGAAAGTTTGACAATGCTTCATCACACAATGTCTGGGATCTATAGATAATACAAGTGGTTAGGTCAGGGTTGATTTTTAAGTACCAGGCCTGGAGTGTGGTGCCAGCTTTCTGACTATTGATCTCATTTCTGCCTTTCTTTAGTTTTTACTTCCTCTTTCTTTTTCTGATTTATGAGACAATAAGAGAGGTGGCATCTTTCCTCACCACCTGAACACTGGGCCATGATGTGGACTGCTTGTACAGTTAAGGAAATGCAGGGATGGAGTTGGAAGCACCTTCTGTGTCATTTCTCTTCCAGGTAAAGTTGTGGGACCTAATACACCCCTCACCAGATTGTATCCTCACCACTATCTGACTTTATTGCTGCTTACACTCTAGGTCCCAGGATGAAATCCCAGGATGATGGAGTGCCCCCTCATGACTTGAAGCACCTGCTTGGCTGGGAACTGAATTCGAGGTAAATTCAAGGGGCCCTGTGGACAATACTGCTAGTGTCTGTCCCTGGGTTGGCTGCAAGACAATGAAACAATGGGAGATGTTTGTTTTTTTGTTGCGGATTTTATTTTTTTGCAGTGTTAGGTAATTAGGATGCCAGAGGTTCTTGGACCCTATCCCAATTCACTGAGGATTTATGATCCACAGAAAAAAAAAAGAGAAAAGAGAAAAAACATGGAACTCCGCAGCCCAAGCAGAGTCACACATATAGGCTACCAGAATGTTAGGACACTCAAAACAATAAAGCCATGAAGTGTGTTAGCCACATTTCTTTAAGTAGACTTCACTTGCAGGTGCACACATACATACACACCCACACACACACAAATGCCACACAAACACATGCAGATATCCAAAAGTCACAACACTCTAACAGAAACACACAGCCCAGCAGATCCTGAAGCTGTGTGGTTCTTCAGGAAGCCCCACCTGAGAGAGAGCAACTCCAGTGAACACAGGTGGGCTGTACCTAGAAATAACAGTGGGGCAAGTTACAAAAAGACTTACCCCTACAACGTCTAGGCAGGACTGACAAATCCTGCAGATACTTTTGGATCCTTAGGGATTTTGCAGTTTTTTCTTGGGGCTGTGCTTGAACTTTTTTTTTTTTTTTTTTTTTTGGTTGGCTCACCTCTGCCATCTCCTAGATTCATCAGACTATCCCATGGATCCCACAGAAAAGACAAGCGACAGTCCACCACCAACGAACCTCCATGGAGTTCTCCTTCTCCACCCAGCCACAGGGACTTTTGTCTAAGCAATGGTGACATTCATTGTGACACCAGCCAGAGCTCACAATCAGGCATGATGCCCTGAGACATGCTCATTCCCATTCATGAGGCAGGCACAAGTGCCTGACTATCAGAACTGTCAGCCTGCCTATACAGAGAAAAATGGTACAGGCAGAGACAGCCTGGTATTGGGAAAAAGGCTGTCTGCAAAAACCCACTGTGGGACCCTAAGAGTCTCAACCTCAAAGCATGTTCAGGCTTTCTCCGTGGTCAGGTCCCCCTGGAGATGGATGTGCTTCAAAACCATGAGGTGGTCCCTGGAAACTGCATTTCTCACTCTTTCTCTGAAAGAGGCTGTATTCCAGAATCAGGTCCCGTGAAGTTTGGAATATATTCTGGTGTATTTTTGAGGGTTCTTTCGGTGATAGAATCATACCTGAAACCCCAGAGGCAGGTGTCTATAAAAGACGGACAGGCTCTTGACTTCACTGCCTCCCTTCATCCTCGGCCTTGCAGGAGCTCTCTGGGGAAGGCAGGAACCACAACAAAGGCAAGTCCAAGATGGAGCAGTGTTCTCACATCTTGCACTGACCTCTCATGGGTGTAGATGAGGTTGAGACAGTATCTCAGAGGCCATCTGTGGTGATGGCAAGCCTGAAAACTATGTCCAGTAGTTCTGTTGAGAGGCACTGTGGATTCCTGATGAAAGCAGGGAAAAATCCAAGACTCATCTGAGAGAATGAGCTGCCTTGTGCTGGAGTTGAAGCAATGTTCAATGATTCCTGTCAGAGGACCCAATAGCCTCCTGCAAAGTGCAAACAACCTCAGACCCCACAATGAGACAAGGACCACCTGAAACATGGAGTGCAGCCAGCCTACCCAAAGTCCCTTTTGCTCTTTGAAATCCCTGGCAGCAAAATAATATGTGGCAAGAGGCAGTCCCATCCAGCAACAGCCCAATGAAAGAGCTCGTCCACAATGAGAAGGCCTTGCAGAAGACCCATCCCGTCCAACATCAAGCTATACCATTTCCATTTGTCTCTGGGTATGAAACCCCTGAAATCAAGAGTTTGCCAGGATAGCCCAAACCTACACTCCAAATGTTCCTTGAACGTTGGAGTACTCCCACGTGAACATCGAGCCATGGTGTGGGCTGCTTGTGCAATTAAGTGAATGTGGGTATGGAGTTGGAAGCACCTTCTGTGTCATCTGCATTCATTTTTTGTGTGTGTGTGGGTAAAGTTCCGCGACCCCATCCATCCCTAGCCAGATTTTGTCCTCACTCCTATCTGATCTTATTGCTGCTCACACTCTATGTCCCAGGATGAAATCCCGAGATGATGGAGGAGTGCCCCCTCCCAACTTGAAGCACCTGCTCAGCTGGGAACAGAATTCTAGGTAAATTCAAGGGGCCCTGCAGACAGGACTGCTAGTGTCTCTCTCGGGCTTGGCCACAGGTAAATGAAACATGGCGGGAGATGTCTACTTCTGTGTGAAGAGGAGTGGCTTTTATTGCAGGGGTAGGTGATTTGGACCCTGTCAGGTCACAGCCAGCCTCCCAATTCACTGAGGATTCTTTATCCACAAAAAAATAAAGACCACAGAGCCACAGAGTCCAGGTAGAGCCACATAGATAGGCCACCAAAAGATGGGAAGACTCAAACAAAAGATGCACTACAGAGTGTTAGCCACATTCATTTAAGCGGACTCCACTAACACACACACTCACACACAAAGGCAAAGCCACACACATAAGCAGACATCCAACACTCACAACAATCCCACAGAAACACACACCCAGACAGCTTCTGAGGCTTCATGGTTCTGCAGAAAGCCCCACCAAGGAGAGAGCAACCACAGGGTACACAGGTGGTCTGTTCCTCGAAATCACATTGGGGCAAGTTTCTAAAGGACTCACTCCTACAACGTCTAGGCAGGCCTGAGGCATCCTACAGATATACTTGGATCCTTAGGAATTTCACTGTTTATCCCTGGGGCTTTGCTTGACTTTTCGTCAGGCTGGCTCACGTCTGCCCTCTCCTAGGATCATGGGACTATCCCGTGATCCCACAGAGAAAACAGCCAGAGTCCACCGCCTACGCACCTCCACGGAGGTCTCCTTCTCCACCAAGCCACAGGGACTTGCTGCTATGCAACGATGGCATTCACTGTGATGCTAGACAAAGCTCACAGCTTAGGCCTCGTAGCTTGAGAAGAGCGCATGCGCATTCGCGAGGCAGGAGCGGGCGCCCAACTTTCAGATCTGTGAGCCTTCCTAAGCAGAGGAAAATGGTACAGGCAGAGCCAGCCTAGTATCGGGAGAAAGGCTTTCTGCGATAACCCACTGCGGGACCCTGTAAGTCTCGACCTTAGGGCCCCATCGGGCCATTTTTGTGGCCTGGTCTGGCTGGAGAAGGAGGAATTTTGAGACTGTGTGGTGATCGCCGGATGCTGCTCTTCTGACTCTATTCCCAAAAGAGACTCTGTGCAAGAATTGGTTCCCATGGGGTTTGGAATATAATCTGGTGAGTTGTTCAGGGTTCTTTTTGATTGACAGAATCATACCTGAGACCACAGAGGCATTGTCAGCGAAAGTTAGCCACGCCCTTTACCTCACATCCTCCCTTCACTCTGAACCTTGCAAGGGCTCTCTGGGAAAGGCAGGGACCATGGCAAAGGAAAGTCCAAGGTGGAGCAGTGTTCTCACACCTCAAAGTGGGTGCTCACAGGTGCAGAGGAGGTTGAGACAGTGTCTCAGAGACCATTTGTTGCCATTGCAAGCCTGAAAAGGGTGTCCAGTAGTGTTGTTGAAAGTCAGTGTGGACCCACCATGACAGCAAAGAAAAATCAAAACTCACCTGAGAGAAGGAGCTGACTTGTGCTGGAGTCCAAGCAGTGATCAAAGATTCCTGTCAGAGGACCCAAATCCTCTTGCAAAGTGCAAACAAAGTCAGTCCCCACAAAGAGACCAGGATCCACACTCTAGAGTGCAGCCAGCCTATCCGACTTCCCTTTTGCTCCCTGAAATCCCTGGAAGCCAAGAGATCTGTGGAGAGAGGCAGTTGCATCCAGCCACAGTCCAATGAAATACTTCCTCCACAATGAGAAAGGACATGCAGACACAATGAAACACAGCTTAGATTACCAAACAAAAGCCAGACATGCCTGCCTGCTTCTCATCCTACAGGAATCATGCAGCCCTCCAACAGAAGTGGGAGAAAAAGAGTTTCTTTTATGGCATATGTAATGCTGACTTATGGTTTTAAATGTATCAAAGGAGCCCAGTCATTAAAATGTGACAGTGTTTAGAAGGAAACATGCAATGAATTCCAGTGAGGGTCATCCTCCATGAATGGGGAAATGTTTAGTGTGTAAGACCTTAGCCAGACCCAGGAAAACCTAGGCCGACAGGGAACATGGAAGACAGGAAAGGAAGAGGCAAGTATGGAGGCTATATCCCACCCAGCGTCAATGCATCTCACTCCCATTTGGCTATGGGAATGAAAGCCCTCAAATCAGGAGTTTGCCAGGATGGCCCCAGTTTGCACACCAAATGTTCCCTGCACGTTGGAGTACTCCCAGGTGAACACAGGGTCATGGTGCACACTGCTGGTGCAATTAAGGGAATGCAGAGATGCATTTGGAAGCACTGTCCATGTCCTCTGTCTTCACCTTTTTTGCAGGTGAAGTTGCAGGACCCCGTCCACCCCTCACCAGATTGTATGCTCACCCCTATGTGAACTTACGGCTGCTCACACTCTCTGTTTCAGAATGAAATCCCAAGACAATGGAGGAGTTTCCCCTAATGACGTTAAGCACCTGCTTGGCTGGGAAATGAATTGGAGGTAAATTCAAGGGGTCCTGTGGACAAGACTGCTAGTGTCCCTCCCTGGGTTGGCCACAGGACAATGAAACACTGGGAGGCGTCAATTCCTGGGTATGACGTGCCCCTCTTCTTTCCAGAAGAGTACCTTTTTCTTTTTTGGCAGGGGGAGGTAGTTTGGCCTCCGGCGGGTCTCAACCAGACTCCCAATTCGCTGCAGATTCACGATCCACAGAAGAATAAAGAACACAGAGACCCACAGTCCAAGCAGAGCCACAGACACACAGGCGACCAGAATGTTGAGTTACTGAAAAAAAAGAAGCACTGCAATGTGTTAGCCACACTACTATAAGCAGACTCCACTTACAGGCATGCACACCCACACATACACCCACAAATACACAAAGCCACACAGGCAAGCAGACATCCAACACTTGCAACACTCCAACAGAAACACAGCCCAGCAGCTCCTGAGGCTAAGTGGTTCTTCAGGAAGCCCCACCTGGGAGAGAGCAACCCCGGGGAACACAGGTGGGCTGTACCTAGTAATCACTGTGGGACGAGTTTCAAAAATACTCACCCCTACAACGTCTAATTAGGCCTGAGGCATCCTGCAGATCCTTATGGATCTGTAGGGATTTCACAGTTCCTTCCTGGGGTTCTGCTTGATGTTTCTTCAGGCTGACTCACATCTACTCACTCCTAGAATCATGGGACTGTCCTGTGGATCTCTGAGACAAGACAGGCAAGATTCCACCGCCAACACACCTCCAGGGAGTTCTCCTTCTCTGCCAAGCCACAGGGACTTGTCACTAGGCAATGGTGGCATTCACTGTGAAGCTAGCAATAGCTCCCTTCTCAGGTCTGGTACTTTGAGGCTATCATATGCGCATTCGTGAGGCAGGCTTGGATGCCTGGCTGTCAGAGCTGTCAGGCTGCCTAAGCAGATGAAAATGGTACAGGCAGAGCTAGACTGGTACTGAGAAAAAGGCTGTCTGTGATAACCTACTGCAGGAACCTAAGAGTCTTGACCTTATTGCCCCTTTGGGTCATCTCGCTGGTCAGGTCCCGGTGGAGGAGGAGGTATTTCGAGACTGTGAGGTGGTCGCTGGAGATGGCTCTTCTGTCTCCATTCCTGAAAGAGTCTGTGTGCAAGAATCAGGTCCGATGGGGATTGGAAGAGTCTGATGAGTTGTTGAGGGTTCTTTATGTGATGGAATCATACCTAAGACCTCAGAGTTGAAAGGTGCTGGGCACTTCACCTCACTGCCTCCCTTCATCCTCGGCCTCACAGGGCCTATCTGGGAAAGGCAGGAACCACGACATAGGCAAATCCAAGGTTGAGCAGTGTTCTCTCACCTTGATCTGGCCTCGCTTGTGGGCAGATGAGCTTGTGACAGTGTCTAAGAGGCCATCTGTGGCGATGGCAAGCCTGAAAAAGGTGTCCAGTAATGTTATTGATGGGCAATGTGGACACCCCAGGAAAGCAAAGAAAAATCAATGCTCACCTATGAGAATGAGCTGCCTTGTGCTGGAGTCCAAGCAACGTTCAACGATTCTTGTCAGAGGACCCAAAATCCTCCTTCAAAGTGCAAATATCCTCAGCCCCCAAGACGCAACCAGGACCCACAACCTGGAGTTCAGCCAGTCTATCTGAAGTCCCATTTCCTCTCTGAAATCCCTGGAAGCCAAAAGATCTGTGGTGAGAGTAGTTCCATCCAGCAACAGCCCAGTGAAGGAGCCCTGTGACAATGAGAAAGGATGTGCACATGAAATGAAACAGAGCCTAGATAACGAGGCAAATGTTAGACACTGTTACCTGCTTCTCATCCTACAGGAATTGTGCCACCCTCCGATAGAAGTGGGAGATGAGTTGTTTCCCTGTTGGTGGCTGTGTGGGAATTTACATTTTAAAACTATCAAAGCTGTCCAGCCATCTAAAACATGAGTGTTAAGAAGGAAACACTTATGCAATGAATTCCCATGAGGGTCATCCTTCATGAACTGGGAAATGTTTTGTGTGGAAGATGGTGAACCAGACCAAGGAAACCCTAATTCGATGAGGAACACAAAGTCAGAAAATGAAGAGGCAAGTGTGGAGGCCACATCCCACCCACATCAATCCATCCCACTCCCATTTGGCCCTGGGTATGAAAATCATCAAAGTGCAAAACCCCAGTTTGCACTCCATATGTTAATGGCAGGTTGGAGAATACCCACTTGAACACAGGGCCATGGTGTGGGCTGCTTGTGCAATCAACGGAATGTGGGGATGCAGGTGGAAGCAACTTCTGTGTCATCTGTCCTCACCTTTTTTTCAGGTGCAGGTGTGGGACACAATCCACACCACACCAGATTGTATCCCTTTCCCTATCAGACCTTATTGCTGCTCACACTCTCTGTCCCAGAATGAAATCCCAAGATGGTGAAGTAGTGTCCCCTCATGACGTTAAGCACCTGCCTGGCTGGTCTGACATATTGATTAATCATACTTATAATTGTTTACATTCATTGTAAAACACAATGTTTCATTTTTCTTCCTTATTCCCCACCATTTATTTTCTTCTCATATTAGTTACAGTTTGTAACTTATTTTGTTAAATATATACAATGAAGTAACACTGCAGTATTGCAGAAAGCACACTGCATTGGAAACAGACTCATATTGAAACAGGAAAATATTTCTTATCCCCCACTGCTGGGCAAGAAATTAGGACAGGTTGTGGGGCTCTGACCCCAGGCAGCATCCAGGGGTGAATTTTTACAGCTCCTGAATCCCCATTGGGCATATGTTACACGGCGTTAATTTAGTTTATTCATCTGTAGGCAGGTTGTGTTAGCTCAATTAGACACCCTGCCTTACTGCAAGGACAGAGGGCTTTCTGGATCCCTGGATTTCCTGCCTTGATGTAATTGAAGAACTGGCTCACACGTGGGCTTCTACAGTAAGTGCAAGGTTTCATTGAGTGGAAGTTCTCAGCAGATGAATGGGGAGCTAGAAAGGAGATGGAGTGAGAAGGTGCTTTTCCCCTGGAATGGGGCAGCTCAGCGATCTCCTCTCACAGCCCCGAGGAACTCCGTGTTCTTCTGTGGTGAATAGCCTACCACCTCCATCCTTGTCCTCTCCTTTCTCTGGTGTCTTCTTGGGGTCCAGTTGCTGTGTCTTTGTCTGCTGATGGTTCCTGTCGATGTCCAGCTGCTCTGTCTGTGCCTGCTAGGGTCTCAGGGATTCTTATAGAAGATGATGGGGGTATGGCAGGCCAGGGTGGTCTTGGAAAGTGCAACACTTGGGCAAAACAAAAACAAAACAAAACAAAAAACAAAAAAACAGAAGGGCATGTCCTCACCAATTTGGGCAAGAAAACAGAAGTGTGTGTCCTCATCTAGGTCAGTGAGCACAGGCCTGAGGGTGGATCCCTAGCCAAGAATCACACCCTCCTCTACCAGACACTTCCCTGCCCCCCTTCCATATCAATATTTTTTAAATTTAAAACTCCAAAAATAGTACCCAGATCCTTTAGAGAAGACAATTGGAGAAGATGGCATTAGAAGAACCAGACTAGGATTAGGGTCACTACATAGAAAATGGAAACACAGATGGCATGTCCTGCAGGCCATGGAATTACTGTGGAAAGATATCCCCTACTGAGAAGGAAAGGGAAACAAACAGGCTTCTCTCATCTTTTTCTCTAATCTCTGCAGTATCACCCCTTGACTGACCTAAAATAGGGAGTAAATTTTATGGGAGCCTAGGAAATGTGCCTCCCAGGGGTCAGGCATCTCTATAACAGAATAGTGCCAGGGAGAGGTGAGTGATGTATCTGTGGGCATACAAACCCAGGACCTCACACAAAGGAGTATCAGAGAGAAATATAGTATGAAGAGATTAAGAGAGAAGTAGTATCAGGAATGATTCATGCATGATATTTGTGAAGAGGACAAAAAGTAAAACAGAGCTTATGAGGTAGTAAACATAATAAGAACATAAACAAAAGCAGGCAAAATTGTAAAGTCCAGGGTATTAACTTTCCTTTATAGGATTTTGAAAATCCCTTGCAGAATCCCTTTCCCAATAGCTTCCTTTCATAGATTCATTCAAGAAATATTTAGTGAGCTAGTATGGTCTAAGAATTGGTCAGATGGCATCATGTGCATTGTTAGTACTTCTTTTGATAGAAAGAATGTTTCTTTTTTTCTACAATGTTTTCCTCCCAAACATTCTTCATGGAAATTTGAATCCTTACTGATCCAGTCAATTGTTCCTGCCCTAAGAATGGTCCCCAAACCCCTGCAAACCCCGTTAAGAACTTCATTCCTCTCCAACTAAGTTACTAAATTGTGTCTATTGTAACACTTGTCAGAGTACATTGCAATTATCGCTGTTCTCTTTATTCTCCAATTAAACTATGAATATTTTGAAGGAAATGTCTATAAACACAATGGCCTGTCATTTGTCAATACTTATTGTACCAAAGGTTATTAGATATTTACATATAATATTATAACATATTTATCCTAATTTTTGGAAAACAATATAAACAATGTTCACTGCCCATTCCCCATGAACTGCTCAACTTTAAACAATGTCTATGCTTTGGAGCAATTGTACAAACTTCCAAAGAACACCGGAAAGTGTTTTTATTTTGTTTGACTTTGTTCTGTTATATTGAATTATTTTGTAGAAACAAAGTCTTGCCCTGTGGCCCAGGCTGAAGTGCAGTGTGCAATCACAGCCCACTGCAACATTGAACTCCTGAGTGAATAGAAAAATAGGTGTGTGCCATCATGCCCAATTTAATTAATTAATTAATTAGTTACTTTTGTAGAGACTGGTCTTGCTATGTTGCCTGTGCTAGTCTCAAACTCTGGGTTTGAAGCAATTCTCCCTTCTCAGCCTCCCAAAGAGCTGTGATTCCAGGCATGAACCACCAGATCTCAAAGAGGAAATTTTAGATTTTACAATATTGCAATATGTTAGACTTCATTTCTTCTTTCAATTTTGCATTTGCAGAAGCACTTGAGAATAATTATTTCTTATGGTGAGAGGGTGATTTCTCATATTTGGTCAACAAATTTTGAAATCGTTATTTTGTTTACTGAAACCCTAATAACTGGTAGTCAAGTCAGCTGAAAGTCAAGTACATGAGTGTTTTTGTGTTGAGGTTTTGAAGACAAATGTAGAGAGATATTAAGAACCAAAGACATTTTATATATATATATATATATATATGCTAAAGCTTCATCCTTGTAGGTGAGGCATCATACATGGCAAGGATAGTTTTATAAAATACCATGAAATACATAATTTAGTAACCAATTCAGCACTTGAAATTTCCCAACTTAGTAACCAATTCAGCACTTGAAATTTCCCAACTTTGTATTCACCAGGAGTTAATGATGTATGGCACTTATAGTAAGTAAATTAAGGTTTGAATTGCTGTTATTTAAGTCATTGCTCAGCTAATCATTTAAGGTATCAAAGATTTTTACTTGTGCAATATCATAAACGCTGGACATTAAATATTAATCACTAGGATTTATGTATCTAAGAGCTACCATCTAATGTGATATTCTTCAGTAAGTTGACAGCAATAATTATGCTGAAAAATAGTCATTCCCATAGTGTGAGTCATTACAGCAATTTCCATCTGAGGATTTCATAGTCAGAGTCCAGATCTGGGCAACAGTGATTAATATAAAGGTTTTTAATGAGAAGAGATTTTGATATATCTAGCTGTGTTTAGATGTCAGTGCCTTGAATGGATGGGTTTGGTATTAATAAGAAAGGGTGCATTGGACTGGATACTAAGAAACGTATTGAATTGTTTCTCTTGTTCTCCATAACATGAAAGGTAAATCAGAGATATAGAAACAATGGAAAATTTCACAGAATGGCCTGACATTTCACTGCACTTTTATTTTTTTTAGCCACTTACAAATTCTTTAAACATACAAAGGTAGGACTGTTACAGGAAAAAAGTGTTGGTGTGAGAAGTCACAATCCACAGCAAAGTAATAGTCTGTTGTGGATGGCACCTTGAGTGCTGAATTAGAGTGAGAATCAACTTTCAGGCTGCCAACCTGGGACAAGGAGAATGAAGCTATCAGCAGTTAACATTATTGGATCAATTAAAGTGAATGTCAACAGAGATTTTGTTGATTTTACATCAAATTGAGTATAGGACTTCAAATTGATTATTTGATAAGGATAAACTCTTACCAAATTTCCCACATGAAAAATTGAGAACTAAAAGATTACACAACCCATACATTATGAGTATCTCATATAAATTTAATATACACATGTGCTAACTTACAGTGTGCAAATATTTGTCTATATCTAAATATATCCAAATCCATTGATGAACAGTTAGAAATTTAGAAATTATTCTCCCATTTTAACTTTCCCTTTCCTAGAATTTTGTCACAAATATAATTTTTCCCTCTGTTTGAAGCCTACTCTCTGGAGGCATGTAATATATGGATACAGTAAAGCCATGAGATATTACAGGGTTTGTATCAGAGAAAATAATAAAACTGGTGTTATAAAAGATCCACTGTAAGGAGAATTTTATACTTCACATGACTACGAATACAGAAGTGTTATTTCATTGAAAGCTGATATCAGTCAATACAATTTGTTTTTAATGTTTTGTTTAAAATACTTAATCTCAAAAGGATTATTTGAGTAATGTTATTGGTAATAAATAACGATTAAGAATTTCCTTTCATTTGTTGATTATTTAAAATGCAAGTAAAATACTAAAAAGTACTGTATAATGTAGTTTCATGATGCATTCTCTGTGGTTTTTGTAAAATTAATAGCCTCAATGGAATTTTTTGACACAGAGAAATTTCCTTATTTCATTATTGTACTTTCACTTTATTACTTGCTTGCATATCATAACTGATGGAAATAAAATATTTTTATTTACACATATACAAAGCATGGAATTTTATGTTTTCTAGTGAGAAAAAGTCACCAATAATTTTATCAGTATAGGAAAATTTTGATATGCCCAAAGTTCTTAACTTTCTTTTCTTTAGAAGTTTCATATTTCAGTCTAGGTATGAGATGGAATTGACTGTGATCATTGTTTTTATTTCACTGTGACTACTGAGTTTCTGATACAGTGATACTAATGTATAGACTTAAAAGCTTGCCTCCTCCTCCTCCTCCTTCTTCTTCTTCTCCTCCTCCTCATCCTCCTCCTCCCCGCTTTGGACCTGTCCATGTGATTTCTGCAGTAATATGCACCGTTATCTGAAATAAGGTTACTAAAAGGTACAAGCATAAGTGGAATTCTTTATTTTTATGAACCTTTAGGAACAGACAAGTAAAACTGAAACATAGTTGTGATATGAATTTAAGTCTGCAGTTTCTCACAGAAGTCCAAAAGGGTGAAAATAAATTTAAAAATGCATGCCTCATCCAAAACATCATGTAGAATAATGAAAAATTTAATTTGACATAAATACCAATTTAAAAGTTATAATTATTTCAGGTGAGAGAAAGTAGCACTAAAAATCCTATTTTTCCTGTTTAAGTACATAACTATTACTGTATCTTCAGGCCTTAAAAAGTGTTAAGTTTAACTTAAGCAACAACTTTCTGGCAATTTCTAACAATGAGTGCATCATCTTAGAATTTCTCCAAGAATTTTTTGGGAGAAATATAATCAAATTTTGCTCTGTAAACAATTGAATTAATCAATAGAATTATTGACTGTAGTCTTGAAATTTCATTGTCCTTCTCTTTTCAGTTTTTACATATTCTATTTAAAGTTCAAAATCCCCTAGGAAAAATATGATAAATAACAATGACTGAAAAAGTTGAGAAACAAAAACTGAGCAGCAGACACATTTCAGGCTTTCCTTTATGAGAATGCTACACTAACCATGTAATATACACAATATAAATCACTGTGAGAAAAAAAAAACATTTGTGTAGCTACTTGACAGTTTATACAGTAACAGCAAATATTCTCACTTGAACTTCAAAAGGGTTTTTAAGCTTGTGTTTCATAAATGAGGAAAATGTGGTTTGTATTTCCTGTATTTGCCTATTACAGCAGTTATCACACTTATTATTCCTCATTTATCTCTGTGCCTGTAACAACTGCACTCTCAGAAGAGCAAGGACCATGTTTTTCTGAGCTTCTTGCAGACTGCCAGGCTTATTGTGGCATTTAGAAACTATCCGCTGAATGTTTGTGACATTTTCATGCGAGTTAGATTCTAGGCCACTTGATACTAATCTTCTATTTAATATTTGGGTTTGGAGAGCTATTTTTCCTTTTCAGTTTTTTTTTCTTTTATCTTTTTTTTCTTTTTTTATTATAAATTAAGTTTTAGGGTACATGTGCACATTGTGCAGGTTAGTTACATATGTACACATGTGCCATGCTGGTGCACTGCACCCACTAACTCATCATCTAGCATTAGGTGTATCTCCCAATGCCATCCCTCCCCCCTCCCCCCACCCCACAACAGTCCCCGGAGTGTGATATTCCCCTTCCTGTGTCCATTTTTTCCTTTTTTTATTATACTTTAAGTTCTAGGGTATATGTTCACAACATACAGGTTTGTTACATAGGGATACATGTGCCATGTTGGTTTACTGCACACATCAACTCATTATTTACATTAGGTATTTCTCCTAACGCTATCCCTCCCCAGCCCCGCAACCCACTGACTGCCCCGTGTGTGGTGTTCCCCGCCCTGTGTCCATGTGTTCTCATTGTTCAACTCCTACTTATGAGTGAGAACAGGCAGTGTTTGGTTTTCTGTCCTTGTGATAGTGTGCTTAGTATGATGGTTTTCAGCTTCATCCATGACCTTGGAACCACAAAGAGATACCATCTCATGTCAGTTAGAATGGCAATCATTAAAATCAGGAAACAACAGATGTTGGAGAGGATGTGGAGAAATGGGAATGCTTTTAAGATTTTTTTAAAGTATATTTTAAGGATATGCTTATCTGGACATGGAGTGGACAGTGCAGGTCATGGTCAGTGGGACCTCCAAAGGAGGCACCCCATTCAAATTGGAGGTTCTGCAGGAGAGGGCAGCCAGGGTACAGAGCTCGAAGGCGCCCTTGGGGGAGGAGAAGGTGCTGGTGGTGGACAACGTCATGGTGGTGGTTGAGAAGAAGGCCAACATGGAGCCTGGTGGAGGACCAGCAGACACTGCCTGGTCCTGGCCCCAGCACACCCTGGCCAGCCACAGATTCGCTGGAGGTCCTTCACTTGAAGCAGAGTTCCATGAATAACCAGGCCACATGGCCTGCCCACAGCTGAGAGGGAACCTTTGGCAGAGGTGCCTCCCCCGCCTGGATGGCACAGGGGCCATCAGCCAGGGCATCTCCAGCTTCTGGGCCACAGCCACATCTTTGCAGCTGCCCATTCGGAATGACTGGCAGCAGGGGGTGGGCATCTGGCTTCCTGGGGTGGGGAGCAGGGGAGCCAAGCAAGGGGCACACGGGGCCAACCAGGAGGAAGGGGATGGGGGATAGTGAGGGGATCTGAGGCCAGGGTCCTGCAGATAGGAGGGCAGCTTGCTTGGGGGTGCCCTGAGAGCACGTGGTAGGGACTGGGAGCCAAGCTCAGCACTCACAAGGGAGAATAGCGGCCCCATGGACCCTTCACGCACAGCAGAAACTTGAAGGGCATGTTTCCATGAGAAAGTCCTTGGAGGAAGGGGAGTCTGCATGCCCATGCCAGCCATAGAAACCACCCTGGCTGCCCATGTCTGTGGCCAGCAGCCTTACCCCAGAAACACAAGGTGCTTCAGACTCAGGTTCACGGTGCACGGGGCTGCTGTCATCTGCAAGGCAGGCACCAGCTCCCCAGATAGGCTTTCTTCCTTCTGCCTGCACTGCACCCAAAGAGCTGTAGGCCCTGGGCATATACAACCTCCGTTGCACATACACCTCCATTACACACATGGGAGCCCCATGGGGAGTGACAGGCACAGCCCTGCAGTCCCTTCTATCCACAGCAGCTCCATCAAGTGGACATGCCCACCTCTCAGGGAGACCAGAAGAGGGGACTGCACACCTGGACACCCTCAGCAGAGCCAGTCCAGTATCCAGCACACAATGACCATGTGCAGCTCAGCAACTCTGAAGATACAGCCGCCTCACACAACGGCACCCCACACCCAATCCCCTGCCTACTTGTGCCGCCCGCTCCTTGTTGGCAGGGGCTTTCTGGGCCTCCCTCCACCCTCCCACAAGACCACCACAACCACTACCATGCCCCCAACACTGGACAGAGACAGGACCACGAATGCAGGGTACCAGGTCAAAGGTTTTGGGATAGCCCTGCCAAACACTCTCCCAGCTCTTGCAAAGTTGTGGGGTGTTTCCTGGCATGCCCACCCAATCATCTGGAGGTTCCTTGACCAGAGGCAGATTGTGCAGCACACCTACATGTCGGCAGAGTTCAGAAACCATGAGGAAGTCCTGCTAAGTAAGCTACAGGATGGATTTGAAGCTCAGGCTGAGGAGCCAGGGTCTGCAGGACGGGTCCAGGGTCCTGTTCAGGTTGAGGTCCTCCTGGGGCACAGGGGTGTCTGAGTGGTAGAGCTGGGAAGGGGCAACACATGCTTCACCCCAGCCAGCAGGCCCTCAGCCCAGATAGATGAAATGGATCCTTTGAGTCTGTCCTCTTCTTCTTGGCATGGCAGGTGGAGGAACTCAGTCATCCGGGGTACCGGCAGCAGGATGAAGTGTTCCTTTCATCACTACCTTTATTTCCACAATAAAGTGATCATTAAGGAATATCGTGTTCGCATCCTTGGTAAGGAGTGCCTCCTGGTGTGGTAGAGAGGGTGGAGTGTGGGACGCTAGGCCTGGCATGAGCCTTTCTGACTCGTTCCAGGATGCAGGGCTTCTGGCTCTAGTGTAGTCCAGTGGTTCTAGAGTCATCAGAAGAAGCCCCACCTTCAGTAAGGACACAGCCTACCTGAGCTTCCTCAGCTAGATGGCTGACTGTGACCACTCAGGGTCAGCCAGGACTGCTGAGGCAGGGGCCGCTGTGGGGTGTCATGGGAAAGGACCTTGCTGGTCTTTCCTTGGCATCTTGGGAACTGGCTTTGAACTATGACCTGACCTTTCACAGACCACTTCCCCACTCCTCCAGATCATCAGTCAGGGCTTCTGACTCAATCCCCTGCAGCACTACCTAAGGATTAGGTCCTCAGAGAGGGAACAGAGAGGAGGCCAGGTAAGCAGCCCACAGCTGGGGGCTCAGAGGCCTGTGGGTCCTGCAGCTGTGACACACATGGAGAACTCAAGGCTCAGGGAGGAGCCTGCAGTGAGAAATCCCAGCCATCCCTGGACTGGGGCAGAAAAGCCCATCAGGGAACTGTAACACTCATATTTCAGAATTGGGGAACCTGAAGTGCCTAAGAGGCAGAAGTGGCAAAGGTCAATGGGTGAGAAGCAACGCTCAAGGGATAGCTGTCTCATCATCCTTCTCTGGCTCCCTTCTATGCCTTGAGGCCTGCTACTACCTGGGGCTCAGTATGGGCTCAACTAGAGTGCACGCAGGGCATGCCTAGGTCTACGTACTTCTAGAATGGCTATACCAGCCGTGTCATGTTTTGTTTCAATGACCCCAGGCTCCCCTGACATGCTTTATCCCCTCTGCCATCCTCACTCATGCTTCCCCGGCTCTCAAGATATTTCCTATGACATTAAAAAATAGACATAAAGTTTTTAAAATGCCTTAATAATATAGATGCAGATAAAAGATTTCATTATAAAAAGTGCTTTTCCTCTTTACTTGTATCAAAGTCTTTTTCATGATGGGGAAAAGAATGCAACATACTTTGGTAAGTTAAAAAAGCATAAAAGTAAAAATAAATCCTACTGCAGATGATCAATTAAATGGCAGGGGATCTTCTGTGTGTGTCCAGGGAGGGTACGTGGCTGAGCAGTAAGCCTCACCTGAGTATTGGTGTAGACACCCAGTTTCCCTCGTACCAGTGTGGGTATGGGCACGTTCCAGTTTGCGTGTCCAGCCTGTGTGTCTACGCTGATGCACGCATGTGCACACCTGTGCCTGTGTCCCTTTGTGTACCTTGGTTTTGGGAGGGCTGACACTCCTGCCCACAGGTGTGCCTCAAACTCAGCTCTTAAGCTGGCAAGCAGGGTGCCACTGGGTTTGGCAATCCAACTTCAGGACCCGTGAAGTCTGCATGCTAGGGAGAAGCAAAGAGTCCTCATGGTTCTCACAAATGGCAGAGGGAGGAGGAAAAGGGTGGCTGGCACGAGCTACCTAGACGAGATGTCATAAACCTGAAATGACACCCAGAGGGATATAAAACCTAGTAGCTGCCTGTGTTTACCTGTGTGTTCGGCCGGGGCATTCAGGTAAGAATCAGTGAAACCTGCAGGGCTTTGGGATTCGCTATTCGGGAATCCCTGTGCACCAGAGTCTCTGGCCCATGAGAGAGGACAGCATGTGGGTCCGGCAGGGCCTGAGTCTCCAGGGAGGCTGGCATTCTCCCCAAGAGGGCATGGGTCGGTAGGTGGAAGAGAAACCTGGGCTGTGGGTTCAGGTAGATGGGACACCTACCACTTAGCCAGGTGGGAGCTCAGGAGAGGGCCAGGAGAGCCTAACTGGCCGGTGACACCCCGTCCCAGTGCTGGGTGTGCGCACACGAGCTTTGCCCCATGCACCCTCTCCAGGATGCCTCACCTGGGCAGACAGGAAGCAAGGCACACAAGATCCTAAGCTTATGGTCATGAGTGGACCCAGACTGGGGGGTCCCTAGGATCACTGTTCCCAGGAGAACCAGGCATGCAGGGTCTCTTCAGGACAGGGGTAAAATGCATAAGCCCTGCTCTCCACCCAGTGAGTGTCATGCCCTGATGATGTCAGCCATGGCAGATACAGGTCTTCCACCTAGATTGCAGATCCACAGGCTTACAACCTCCCCCTGGCCTTCTCTGGGACAGACCCCTGGACTCTGAAACAGCCAGTGCCCCAGGACTGTTCCTTCCCCGCCTCCAAGCTCGTGGGAGGCTCAGTGGGGACTCTCCTCCTAGTACATGGCCACCCACAGGCACTGTCAACAATCCAGGGCCCTTCTACATTCCAGGGTCCTGCCACCTTACCCAGCAGTGGGATAATGGGGAGGGAAAGAGTGGGAACAGACAGAGCGGGGGCCACAAGCCTCACCCTCCCACATGGCAAGGGAATGAGGAGATCCTTCTCAGCCCAGGCAGCTGCTTTCAGAACACACACCTGGAAGCCCAGCACCAGCTGAGGGATTCACTCTGCCACAGCTGGGCATGGGGGATTTCATTGGGGATTTCATTGTGTGCTGGGGAACTTGATCCTGGTTGCCATACCAGGTGTACCTCTCTTCCAGATCACAATATGCTCACACCCTCCTTTACCTGAATGGATTCCTTGTCCTCACCACATGGTGTTAGCTGGAAATGCTACTCCTGGTGCCCCAATTGCTGTTTCAAGGTGCAGAGACTGACCAGCAGACCCCTGAGTCCTTGTCCTCTTATCCAAGTAATATCCATAGAAATAGTAAAATAGTGGCACATTAGACCTAGTGATAATTTTAAGGCTGATCTCTTTATAAGCATTTCATCAATATATTTATGACTTTATCTCGTGTATTTTATTTATAACTGTCATTTCAAATTCAATTTTTGCTCAAGAGTTATTTTAACATATAGCGAAATGTTCAGAGCTATGATACATAGGTTTCAAGTTTAAAAGTCTGTATCTGCTATGATTTTGGGAAAAACCCACAGAGCACTTGTAAAAATAGGTAATTATTAGGCATGACCACTGTAGTGGTTTAAAACACACTTTGAAATTCTTCTCAAACCCATTTGAAAATATTCCTGATGGGACTGAACACAGTACTTGCTTGTAATGAATAGAAAACAGTGCAAGCATTTTCGGGATACTGGACCACCTCTGGCCTAGTTTAGAAAAGGTGACACAGCTCTGCCCAAGTCTCCTGCTCTCATCCCCCTTAGGAGCCCCCGACCAGTACACCACGAAGTCTAACACCCTGATAACACTACACAGAAGGGACATCCAATGGAGAGACTCAAAGAAATAGAAAAAGATGTCTGAGGATCTCAGCAGTCCAGCCCCTGCTATTTGAGTCACGCTAGCCATGGCACCAGGGAGATGGGAAGACACCCGCCAACGTCCCCATCCTTGGCCATCACTAGATTGCAACCTCCTGAGTGCCCCTGAACCATATTCATTTGGCTGAGAGACTGAGGGCGATTGCAGAGACTGACAGTTAGTAAATTATAATTATTGTTTAAGCCACTAAGTTTTAGACAATTCTGAAAAGCACTTTAGACTCCTAGAAAAACTGAGTTGTCTACTCATTTAATTGCAGAGAGCTGTAAAGGCTAACATCATGAATAATAATAACCTGGAAAAGTCAAATCATCAAGATTCTTCTAAGCACAACAGATCTTTAATGCCCCTTTGCTATGGCTGAAGAATAATCTAACATACACCTGATAGAGATGTTTGAAAGCCTCTGTTCACATCTCTCGGCAGGGTAAGGGTCAACTCTAGTCTGGTTTAATTCTAGGTAACTGCAGCAGTTCACCTTTCATTTTAGGTCATGGCCTATGCTGATTTTTTGATCACTGACTGTGTCTTTGTCTGTGTGTGTGTTTTGTGTGTTACGATATTTTATCTGAGGATGCTAAATAATAGTACTATAGTTGTTTTGTAAACAAAAAACATTCCAGGAAGTCAGTATTGTTTATAAACTGAGCTTTAAAACAGATACGAAATTAGACATGGCAAGATGCCATGTCTAGTATCATACCAAAGCTAGCCAAGCTTGGTGGCTCATGGATGTTATCCCAGCTACTTGGAAGGCTGATGCAGGAGAATCCATTGAACCTGGTGATGGAGTTTCCAGTAAAGTGAGATCACACCACTGTGCTCTAGCCTGGGCAGCAGAGCGAGACTCTGTCTCAGAAAGAAAAAGAGAATAAAATAATAAAATAGGAGAGATCACTGAAAAGAGAAATGCATAAAACTGGGTGGGCATTGTGGCTCATGCCTGGATCCCAGCATTTTCAGAGGATGAGGTGGGTGGATCACTAGATGACAGGAGTTCAAGACCAGCCTGAGCAAACATTGTGAAACCTGGTCTCTACCGAAAATACAAAAAACATATAGATATATATACACATACATACATACAGGATTGGTGTCATATGATTGCAGTTGCAGCTGCTTAGAAGGGTGTGACTGGACAACTGCTTGAACCCAGGACAGGGAGGGAGCAGTGAGCTGAGATCACGCCACTGCACTCCAGCCTAGGTGACAGAGCAGGATTCTGTCTTAAAAAAATTAAATGAGATAAAAAGATATAAAGAAAAAAAGAAAGAAACACAGGAATGAAGAAAGGAAGGGAGGGAGGGAGGGAATGAAAATTTGTATGTAACAGTTGTAGATACTTTTGGCATACATGTGATATTTTGATACAAGTAATGTGAACTGGTAAGCGAGGGATCAAAGAGGGGATGGGGGTGGGTTAAATTATACTTGCTTAGAAGGAATAATATCTAGTGTTCAGTGGCACAGGATGACTACACTTAATAATGATTTATTGTACATCTCAAAATAATTAATAGAGCGAAGGTGGAATGTCGCTCGTACCAAGAAAAGATATACCAGACTCAGTGAGGTGGAATGTTGCTCATACCAAGAAAAGATATGCCAGACTCAGTGGCTCACAGCTATAATCACAACACTTTGGGAAGCCAGGGAAGGAGGATCATTTCAGCCTGGGAGTTTGAGACCAGCCTGAACAATATATCCAAAGCATTGTCCCTACCACACACACACAAAAGCTGGGCATGGTGGTTGGTGTGTGTCTGTAATTCCAGCTACTTGGGAGGCTGAAATGGAAGTCTGGCACATTTGAACCCCGTGTCCAAGGCTGCAGTGAGCTACGATGGTGCCACTGCAGTCTAGGCTGGACAACAGAGTGAGACCTTGTCTCTAAAAAAGAAAAAAGAATTGATAAGTGCTTGAACTGAAGGATACCCTATTTATTATGTATATATTTGTTGATTTATATAATTATTTTTGGTTTGGAGTCACACTCTGTCACCCAGGCTAGGGTGCATGGTGCAATATCGGCTCACTGCAGCATCAGGCTCCCAAGTTCAAATGATTCTCCTGCCTGAGCCTCCCAATTAACTGTAACATACTACAGGCAGGCACCACCATGCCTGGCTAATTTTTGTATTTTTGGTAGAGATGGGGTTTCATGGTGTTGGCCAGCCTGGTCTTCAACTCCTGTCCTAAAGTGATCTGCAAGCCACGGCCTCCCCAAGTGTTAGAATTAAAGACCTGAGCCACCACACCTGGACAGTAAGATACACAAGACTAGGGAGATTTATCTTTTCACTTCATCCTTACAATGCTACAGGTGAATGAAAACACAACTTCATAACATGAATACCTCACTTGAATATCAAAGTTGGCAACTTCTCCCTTTAAAATTATTCGTACCCTTACCCTATAAAAATTGATGATCTTGTCAAAATTTTTCAAGAAAATACTTCCTCCTTGCAGATTAGTCTGTCAATTGTTAATAACTAAGGACTGTAAAACTTCTGGAACTTGATGTATTTCATTTCTTTAGTTTGCAAAATCAGGAAAAATAATTGATTTAGTTATTTAGGTCCAAATATTTTTATCATTCCATGATTTCTTAAAACTTTCAGCAATCCCGTCTGAAACTTTATGCTGTTGTTTATATTTTACACACTTCACTTTCCCCAAAGTATGAGGTTTAAAGTGTTTCCATTCATATTAGAAAACTTGAACAGTTTGCAAGGGAGGCATAACGTATGCCTAATTTTGTATCTATGTTCAAAGAAACAAAGGAAAATGTACAACAAACTACACAATTTTCTCTCCTATTGAATTTGCTTTAAGCATGTGCGGCTAACCAATAACACCAGGCATTTTGAAATACATGTAAAATCTTATTGTGAAAATTTTAAGGTAGATATTACATCTAAACACTTTTCAAATAGCATCAACAAGTATGAAATTACTTTGAAAACAATTCCTTTTCCTTTGAATACCTCAGAAAATTCATGGAGGAAGTTAGTATCTACCTCTCTCCACAAAACCAATATGTTTCTTTTAGTAATATGCAGGTAATGCAGCAGAAATAACATTTCAATTTTTGATTTGCAAACAAGGTTTGGTATGCAATAACTATTATTTTGAACCCATGCTTTAATATCTGCTTCAGTCTCCTTTTTCAGATCAACTTTCACCACCATCTACTGTAGATGCCACATAACTTGAGCTACCATATGCTTCACGAGGAGCAGGGAGCACCCTACCCAGAGAAGGCAGATTCCTTTGGTCTTTTCTGCAAACCTACTCATGATCACAATAATGAAAATCACCACAGCTCCTGGAGTAACTCTCCCAACTTCTGCCATATCTATCTCGAGTATTATTATAATCATGGCATGTGCTTCCGCCATAAGACATCTGAGGCCCTCGTGCAGGTGGTGCACCATGAGAGGTCCCTGCATGGTTGACAAAATAATATGTTGGACTACCTTTGAACATTTTTACTGCTATCATTAAAGCATGAATTAGTTAAAGTACTATTTGGAAATATCTGCTTTCTTCTGCCTTTGTTGACAGGACATTAATCAAGTCTTCAACAGTCAGAAGGTTTCATTTAAAAGAAGTATAAGAGTAGTATTCTGAAGCTTAACAAACTTAATTCTAAAGTAAATGTGGAGTCACATTTTCTTAACGTGAACTGAAGTTCTCGCCTTCATAACATTCCCTATCTTTATACTGTTAAGAATACTCAATATTTAAACATGTTGCATATGTCCTTTATAATTTTCCTTAGAATTTCCTTAAAATAACAATCTGGTCTATTACATAAAATTCTGTAATTTACAAATCCATCCTGGACCCTTACCGTATCTCTGAAATGCATCTCTATAAGAACTTCCACTTAGATGTTCAGAATGATCTCTACCACGGGCCTCACCGTAGCCATCATGGTAACTAAATTGAAAAAAAAAAACATTTTTAATGTTAGAATGAACAATTTAAGAAATCTATTTGGTAAATCCAGATAACATGATAGTACCTATATCCTCTAGAGGAATGTTCATCCCAACTAGGATGACCATAATCACGGTATGCATAGTCTCTAGGTGGTGGAGCATAATCCCTGGTTTCTCGGGAACTTTGATGATTTCTGTGTGCACAAGTTTAAGCAACAAATTTTAAATTTTCAACTTCCAGTATCCAAAACATAACTAAATTACAACTTAAACACAATTAAATTGCCAAACATCTAAAAAAATGCCCAAAGAGTCCAAATGCCCAAAATGCCCAAATGCCCAAAAAGCACATGAAACAGATACTCATAATGAATGATTCAGAAAATGCATTTCAAATCCAACAGGAGCTTCCATACTTCACACACACACATTGGAAGGGCAATAAATTTTTTTTATTATACTTGAAGTTCTAGGGTACATGTGCATGATGAGTTAATGGGTACATAAAATGCATTTCAAATCCAAAATGAGATATCATATTTCACACACACACTGGAAGGGCAATAAATTTTAAGAAGCAGGAAATAACAAGTGTTTGAGAGGATGCAGATAAATTGGAGCCCTGATACAATGTTAGTTGGCATGAACAACTTAAGCAATCTGTTTGACAAATCCAGAAAAAGTTACAGTACCTATATCCTCTAGTGGAATGTTCATGCGGACTAGAATGACCATAATCACAGTATGCATAGTCTCCAGATAATGGAGCATAATCCCTAGTTTCTCGGGAACTTGGATGATTTCTGTGTACATAAGTTTAAGCAACAAATTTTAAATTTTCAACTTCTAGTAACCAATATACGACTAACTTACAACTTAAACAAAATGAAAAGTCCAAACATCTAAATAGATATTTCTCCAAATAAAATAGGCAAATGGCCAAAAAGCACATGGGACAGATACTCAAATTCAGTGATTCAGAAAATGCATTTCTTTTTTCTATTATACTTGAAGTTCTAGGGCACATGTGCATGATGAGTTAATGGGTGCAGAAAATGCATTTCAAATCCAAACTGAGATATCATATTTCACACACACACTGGAATGGCAATAAATTTTAAAAGGGAGGAAATAACAAGTGTTTGAGAGGATGTAGATAAACTGGAGCCCTGATACAATGTTAGTTGGAATGAACAATTTAAGAAATCTATTTGACAAATCCAGAAAAAGTTACAGTATCTATATACTCTAGAGGAATGTTCATCCTGACTAGAATGACCATAATCACGGTATGCATAGCCTCTAGATGGTGGAGCATAATCCCTAGTTTCTCGGGAACTTGGATGATTTTTGTGTGCATAAGTTTAGGCAACAAATTTTAAATTTTCACCTTCTACTATCCAATATATGACTAACTTACAACTTAAAATTAAAAGGCCAAACATCTAAATAGCTATTTCTCCAAATAAAATAGGCAAATGGCCAAAAAGCACATGGGACAGATACTCATATTCAATGATTCAGAAAATCCATTTCTTTTTTTTATTATACTTTAAGTTCTAGGGTACACATGCATGATGAGTTAATGGGTACAGAAAATGCATTTCAAATCCAAAATGAGATATCATATTTCACACACACTGGAAAGGCAATAAATTTTCAAAAGCAGGAAATAACAAGTGTTTGAGAGGATGTAGATAAATTGGAGCCCTGATACGTTAGTTGGAATGAACAATTTAAGAAATCTATTTGACAAATCCAGAAACAGTTACAGTACCTATATCCTCTAGAATAATGTTCATGCCGACGAGAATGACCATAATCACGGTATGCGTAGCCTCTAGATGGTGGAGCATAATCCCTAGTTTCTCGGGAACTTCGATCATTTCTGTATGCATAAGTTTAAGCAACAAATTTTAAATTTTCAACTTCTAGTATCCAATATATGACTAACTTACAACTTAAACAAAATTAAAAGGCCAAACATCTAAACAGATATTTCTCCAAATAAAATCGGCAAATACCCAAAAAGCACATGGGACAGATACTCATATTCAGTGATTCAAAAAATGCATTTCTTTTTGTTTTATTATACTTTAAGTTCCAGGATACATGTGCATGATGAGTTAATGGGTGCAGAAAATGCATTTCAAATCCAAAATGAGATATCATATTTCACACACACAGTTGAATGGCAATAAATTTCAAAAAGCAGGAAATAACAAGTGTTCTAGAGGATGTAGATAAACTGGAATGCTGATACAATGCTAGTTGGAACGGAAAATGATGCAGCTACTATGGAGAAATGTGGTGGTTCCTCAAGAAAACAAACATAATTATCATAGGACCATGCAATTCCACTCATATACACCCAGAACCGAATAAGCATACTCAAACAAATATTGGTGCGTAGAAATACTCGGGTGGAAACAACCCAGATAAAATAATGGGTTAATAGCTTCTGGAGGGAGTGAAGTGCTATGATGTAAATGAACCTTCAGGACATCATGCAAAAGGAGAGGAGACAAATACAAAAAGTCATGTAGTGTTTGAGCACATTAACATTAAATACCCACAACAGGTAAGTTCAGAGGCAGAACACTGACTGGTGTTTGCTAGCAGCTGAGGAAAGGGAGAAAATGGAAGGGACTGCTTAACTGGTAGTTGGAGTTTTAATTTGGAGTGGTGAAAACGTTTTGGAACTCGATGGAGGTAGTTGTTGTATGGCACAGAATGTATTAAACACCACTTAACTGTTCACCTTATAATATTTAATTTTGTTATGTGAATTTCATCACCACAACAAAAAAAAAATCAACTGTGTTTTTTAATTTTTCCTTTACCCATCCTTTGTTGCATAACCATCATCTCTTGGTGATATATGATCATTTCTCCAGGAAGAGATTGTCACTCTGCATGGAGGAACTCCATATCTCTCTCTTCTTTGTGACATAGGACCTTTAACATTAAAATGATGGAACATTATGTAGAGAACACCAAATCTGAAACGCTATTTTCTCTTCTCTCAAACTACTTTTTAAAATTATTTTTTCTATGACTCCATTCTTTGTTTCCTAAATTACTAGACACTCATGACACTGTGAATACTTCTTATGGCTTTGGAGAATCCCATGGCTCCCACAAGGCCAGTTCTTCTAATGAAGCTGAAGGCAAACATTAATTCTTAGGTAAAAGTTCATTTGTAATGGTTAATATCTACTTAGTTATTATTTTCTTTTTCATATAAATTACTGATGACTGTGAGTGACACAGGGAAAACATGTAAAACCATCAAACTCTTCACTGATTTTAAAGTTTACATACATTGTCCTTTCTCAGCCAAAGATGGTGAATTTTCCAATATCATTCAGTCCATCTCACACACATATAAATACAGCTACCTTTAAATGACTATATGCTAAATGTTTACATAAAAGTTCTTTATCTCTAACTGGTTGGCTCTATCTTAAATGTTGACAAATTAAAATGTATTAGTGAAGATTTTCTAATGATGGTCAAGATTTGCTTTTACTGCAAAGAAAGCAATGCTATGCAAGGGGTCATTACAACATTGTTGCTATTTCAAAATAGAAAGTTTCTCCTTCAATATATTCTTCACTTGCTATTCCTTAGAGGTCAGTGTTTCACATATGATACGTTCACTGGCTAATTTTCCAATGGAAATGTGTTGGCTTGGGTATCCTGAAGCCAATAAATACCTCTCTTCACCGATACTCTACGTATGAAATGTAAAATTGAAAACAGCAGTTTTTAACTTCCTCCATATTCGGATGGAGGACTAAGAAAGAATTTTAATTTGCTCTGCTTAAACTTCCTTCCTAAGAACTTTTATTTATTGTCTTATTTTCTTCTGTTCAGTCTGCAGTCTTACAATTCTTTCTCAAGAGTATTACTTGCATTCAATCCTACTGCTCACCTCATGTTGCTTAGTTCTAAATTCTCTCCTCAAATAATTTCAAATCTTACACTAAGGATCTTGTGTTAATGTTTAAACATCCCGGTACAATCTCAATTACTGATTTACATACACCTATATTTCACAACTCTGCATTTCTGTGATACCCACTTAATTTAAGCATTTTGGACTCCTACGTGTCTACCTTTCAAGGCTTAAATTTATTTTTAAATCATATTTAAGCCCAATGACTCCTTGTCTGCTAAATGCTCTTGTAGTTCTTTTGAATCTTCATGCAAGCAGTGAGTATGCCTTGCACATACGCATTACTGAGGACTCAGAAGTTGGATGGCCAGGCTTAGCGGCTCACACTGTGAGTGAGTGTGGAAGGCTGAGGCAGGTGGACCGCTTGAGCCCCGGGCTTTAACATCAGTTTTGACAATGCAGTCAGATCCTCTCTCTACAAAAACATAGGAAAAAAATGTACCTAGGTGTGGTGCTGCATGCCTGTAGTTGCAGAAACTCGGGAGGCTGAAACAGCAGAATTGCTTGAGCCCAGGAATTTGAGGCTATAGTAAGCCGTCATCTCACAAATTTGAGGCTATAGTAAGCCGTCATCTCACAAATTTGAGGCTATAGTAAGCCGTCATCTCACATAGTGCACTCTCACCTAGTAAGAGCAAGACTCCAACCCAGCAAAGTCACTGAACAAGCAATTTTTAGAATGGGACACCAGGGGACCTAGGAAATGGAAGAATTAATTAG
This sequence comes from Homo sapiens, assembly GCF_000001405.40. Classification (NCBI taxonomy): domain Eukaryota; kingdom Metazoa; phylum Chordata; class Mammalia; order Primates; family Hominidae; genus Homo; species Homo sapiens. The sequence goes on from NC_000024.10 coordinate 9,316,614, forward strand.
ATCAAGAAGCCTACCATCAAAGAATACTGCTAGGAACTTTTAGAAAAATTAAGGGGAATTTTCTAGCAAACACAGGATTAAAAGGAATGTTGGCCTCACTCTAATCACTTCTTTGATCTGCAATGAGAAGCTCAAGTATTTCTTCAATATAAATCTGAAATGTACCTAGTGAGATAGAAACTATAATAAAAACTATCAATCAGTAATTATGCTCACGTATGTGTCACTTCTCTTTTGTTCAATGAACTTAAAGCTAACCATTCAGGGAAAATAGCTCATTTTTAGTCATACAAAAACTACGGTCTTTCTGTCAGGTAGCATTTACCTTGGCTTCCCATCCAACTATTGCTTCTTGCCACAGCAGAAGGAGCAGATTTTTTAGGAGGAGGACCTCCACTTCTTGAAGATGGACGTCTTTTAACTGGAATGAGTCCCCTAGAATAACTCATCTTGAGATCAGGAGTGTATCCACCATCATCTGTATTTCAAACAAAATCCTTTTAGTTAACTAACATCACTGTTTCTTAAATGGCTAAGTTTTAGTTGTTTACAAATATTTTCTACATTTTATAACTAATTCACATTTTGTCTAAACTAATAAAATTAGCATTCCTACATGGTATTAGTACACTTCAAGCAATAAAAGTTCATTTAGAAAATCTAGAAAGAAACTCAAGTATCATAATATATTGGTATGAGAGAGAGATGTGGGAAAATGGGGAGTGAACGGGGGCACAAATCTATCACTGAAATATCTAAATATAATATGCATAAAAATATTAAAAGAAAAGTGATAAATGACTGCTTATATCATTCTGTAATGAGGAAAAATTTTCAAAGCACATCATAAACTAATTTCCATTCAAAGAAACTCAAATATTTCCAATACCAAGAAGTGACATATCAGGAAAATACATTGTCTCTAAAATTTGTTAACACAATATAGAATTCTTAAAATTCCCTTATGAGACACTGACTTTCAGATTAGACTATGCTGAATTTTAACAGTCTTTAGGAACTGCATATTCGGTAATATAAAAATATTTTTATACATCTACAAAAATGTAGATATATGCCAACTGCCAGGTGGTGTTACGGGTTAGAATTTATATATACATTCTCGTCCGTGGCAGAGTATAATTGAACCTCACCCTCAAGATCAGTGGAGACAAAATAGCCACGAAGCTATGCATCTTAAAATGGAGCAAACACTGCAATTTCAACTTGAAAAAAATCTCCAATAAACTACATGTCTGGTTATTAAAACTCCAAGTTAATTGTTAGAGTTTTGAAGGTTGGTTAATAGATAATACAAGTTAACCAACAGGTTTATTTATTTATTTATTCAGATGGACTGTTGCCCTATCACGCAGGCTGGAGTGCCATGGCATAACCTTGGCTCACTGCAGCTTGTGCCTCCCAGGTTCCTGTGATTCTCCTGCCTCAGCCTCCTGAGTAGCTGGTATTACAGGTGCATGCCACCACGCCCAGGCAAATTTTTTTGTATCTTTAGGAGAGACAGGGTTTCACCATGTTGGCCAGGCTGGTCTGGAACTCCTGACCTCGTGGTCCACCTGCCCTGTACTCCCCAGGTGCTGAGGTGACAGGCGTGAGCCACCTCGCACAGCCCATCCAATAGTCTTTTTTCTTTTTTTTTAAATATATGGTTTGTTTTTCTTTTATATGTAAACATAGACCCCTCATTTCTATTAAGTAAATCACTCATAAATATCATTTTCAGTGACTCAGCCTCCAGCAAAGAAAGATACATACATATCTGTGAAGCAGTGGTTTTTAGACATTTCCAGTCACAGACTCTTTTCAGAAATTAAAGTTCTACATTTCTTAAATTGAAAATGCTTTATGGCAGGCCAATGTACAAACTCTCTGTATCAAAATTACAAAGCAATACCTTTGCATAGATGTTCGCACATGTATACACAAGAAAACAAATACTGCAAAATCAGTCTTAAGTATTGAGTTACTTTTTCCTGTTGGAAAATTTTAAATATGACATCATACTTTGATAATACAACTGACACGAAGTTCTGGGCCCTAAAGCAGAAAACTCTAAAGTATAATGAATATAAATGAGTTCTGCAGAAAACCGGTTGAGTACAGGTAATCAGCATTCATAAACACAACTCAGTTTGAAATGTGTGTTACTTCAGTGCAAACTTATTGTAATTTTAAAACAAATTTATGTATTAATTCAATCATTCTTATAATACACCTTTAGTACTTAGAAATAATTTTGCTTATTATCAATAAGCTAATTTTCTCTTCATACAGGAAATAAAAAAATTGAGAAATTTCGATATCTTCAAACTTATTTTCTTTCAGTCCTATGGTTCCATCTTTATATTTTAAAACATTACCCAGGTGTCCTTCATGTGAGGGAAGCCACCCTCCTGTTCCTCCACTGCTTCCTCTTGCAGATCTCAGACTTCCTGAAGGGCTTCTGTTTCTCAAAGAAGCTGGTGGTCTTCACCTACCACCACTTTGAAAAGATGGTTTCTTGGCTTGTTCTACTTTTATTGCTTTTCCATCCAAAGACTAGAAGTATTAAGGGTACTATCAATAACAATGGCACATTTAACGTAAGCGCATTTTACAAACATTTTTACATCAACCATAGTTCAATTCGAGGTATTTTCTCCCAAAAGGAAACTTTTTTTTCTCCTAAAATGAACACATCTTTCACAATGCCAAATTTGAGATAGTTACTGAGCACATGCCTTCCATTAAGGGACCAAACACAAATTCTATTATTCAAATTCCTTGAAAACTCCTCCATTATTAAAAAAAAAAAACTCAAACATAAAAAAAAAGATTGACCCATCACACATTCTATGGAAGAATGTGGAACATCTGTTTTTTACAATATATAATCCACTTCATCTTTGTATTCACATCACTGATTTGAAAGTTGCAGTGTCCCAACGAAACTTGTGTCATTTTAAAAAGTGAGCTTACTTTTTCAGAGTGATTAGTCACATTAGTCACTATGAGCTGTTTCTTGTTGGATTTGCTAACACTTACATAAAATGTCCCCATATGATTTACAATTCTATATTGACTCTAAAAATGTTTCTGTAAATGTGATCCTTGTTTGATCTCATTAAGTTTTCTTGCCTTACTCATTTCTTATATTGCCTTACACGTGCCCCTAAAAAACGAATCTTAATATAGTACTTCAGGTAGTTTCTCAGAAATGCTTAAATATCCTAATTAATTTCATAATAACATTTTTCACTGTAATCTTCTCTACAGGCCATAGCAATTTTTGAAAACAGTTCAGCTAATAATGTGATTTACAAATTACATGGCTTTTGTTATTTGGAGGAAGGACTTAAATCCCTGACAAGACCCCTTGCAGCCACATCGCCAGTTGTTCCTACCTTGACACTTCTTTTGTTATTTCTGGGATCAAAATATTTTCCCCAGATTTGCCCATGGCTGCTTCCTTCCCAGTGTTCTGAAGTCAGCTAAAATTCCTTAACTGTTAATTCCCCCTGAAAACTCGAAGAACTTCCTTTATTGGCCATCTTAACATTAATGTGCATACAATATTCATATTTATTTTAACACACTAAAATATGTGAGATGAACTAACTTAGAAATAATGTTGGCTGGGCACGGTGGCTCACACCTGTAATCCCAACACTTTGGGAGGCCAAGGCAGGTGGATCATGAGGTGAAGAGATAGAGCTCATCCTGGCCAACAGGGAGAAACCCCATCCCTACTCAAAGTACAAAATTAGCTGGGCGTTGTGGCGCGCCTCTGTAGCCCCTGGTACTGGGAGGCTGAGGCAGGAGAATCGCTTGAACCCGGGAGGCGGATGTTGCAGTAAGCCAAGATGGCCCCACTGCAATCCAGCCTAGGGCACACAGTGAGTCTCCATCTTAAAAAACAAACAAACGAACAAAAACTTTACACAAATTAGCTGCTCTTTTGCTTGAAAACTAGAGGGAACAAAGAAATTATCATAGATTACTATACAGAAGTCAAAATTATCTCCATACCTACCACAAAGCCATGAACCAAAAGCAACTCTCGGTTTCTACCACAGCTTGAAATACTAATTTATGAGGGTGAATAAAAATGTACTTTCTGCTATGTGCCAGGAACTGTGCTAGATGTAACAGAAAGAAAAGCAACTAGCAAGACTTAAATATGCACTACATACAATTTCACATTCAATAGATTAATACATAGTACAGTGAGTACAAAATACCTACAATATGCAATGAGAAAGAAAATATGAAATCTAAGTGGTTTTTGAAGCATAAATTTTATTTATGAGACATACACAGGGAAGGATAATTCTCAACAAGTCTAAAACAGCACTTTGGGGATAGCATGAAGACTAACAGGAGCTAAAAACAGATTGGGATAATGTTGTTTATTTATTTTATTTATTTTTTATTTTTTTGAGACGGATTCTTGCTCTGTTGCCAGGCTGGAGTGCATCAGCGTGATCTCGGCTCACTGCCACCTCTGCCTCCTTGGGTTTAACTGATTCCCCTGCCTCAGCCTACTGAGTAGCTGGAACTATAGGCACACACAACCAGACGCAGCTAATTTTTTTGTGTGTGTGTTTTAGTAGAGACAGGGTTTCACCATGTTGGCCATTATGGTTTCTTTCTCCTGACCTCGTGATCTGCCTGCCTTGGCCACCCAAAGTGCTGGGATTACATCCGTGAGCCACCATGCCCGGCATGATTGGGATAATGTTACAAAGCAAAAAAGCACTAAAGAGCACAGAATGGAATGCTCTTGACTACAATGTAAAGGAATTCAATAATTAATATAATTACATAAAAGTTTAAAGCTTTAGTAAACACACAATCTCTAGATTTAAGACTCAACAGGACAAGAGACCATTGGTTGAATCAAAACAAGTCCTCAAACACACTGGGGAAATGAGTAATTAGCTATTCATGTTACATAAATCACTCTGGTGACAGGAAAGAAATGTCCTTAGGAGAAAAAGCAAGCATGGAGCAAAAATGCCAGTTACTTCTTCTGCTATCTGACTTCAATGTTCTCATATTATTTTCTCTTTTCAACTACTTACCCTTTCCGTAAATGTAAAGGTCTTATTTAAATATACTTTTGCAAGAATATATTTTCATAAAATATATTCTTCAAGAAGGAAGGAGTCTTTCCTTCTTGTGAGTCTGTCTAGATGTCTATCCACAGTTTGTCTACGCTCTAAAAGAATTTCCATGAATTGGAAGTACTTCAATTAATAGCATTTAATAAATATTGACTTATTAATTTCATTTACATGAGGGTTCCTTATAAGTTTTAAAGCTCATCAAAACCTTTTAAAATCTATTTGCACTCATATCGAAATACAAACATAGAAAAAGGTTACCAAATATTAATTTATATAATGTTAATTCCAATACCCTTCCAACTACACTTGCACGTATAAGGCACAAAAAAGAGGATGGCTTCATATGTCATTCTACTATCTTCAAAAGTTTAGTAATATTAAAAAGACCTAGAAATATTGTTAATTGAAGAACACAGTTAGAATATTATTAATAAGGGACTCTTACCTTTCCATTCATATCTTTGGCAGCATTCTTAGCATCTGCAGGGTTCTCAAAAGTAATAAAGGCAAAGCCTCTGGATTTGCTGGTTCGATCCTTTATCAAAAGAACTAAAATATATGAAAACATTTTACATTCATGTAATGGACTCATCAAGGTACTAACCATCTAAAAGTTACATCAAACTAAAAAATAATTGCATTTCACATCATTATTATGGTTCTTAATACTCAGTCACCCCTACAGTCAGTCTAGTTTATTCCAGTTTCTTTCTGAACTCCACAGCACATTTACTTTTCCTCATTTTCCTTTCTAAGTAGTAGGTTATCCTTTCCATAGAGCCTTAACCTAGTACTATGAGAATTTTCCAAATATCAAACAGATACTACAAAATAAGAGTTTAAAACTCATAAGGCATTTTCATGTAGGTATACAATGAACTTTGAAAAAATATATTTTTTCAAAACATATATATATATAACATACATATTTTAAACATACATACTGAAATATACATGTGAAAATACACATAAACACACACACACACACACACACACACACACACACGGTTTTAAGAGTTACCTTCTGATATGGGACCATATTTCCCAAACACTGCTTTAAGCATCTTCTCATTGGTCTCTCTATTGAGGCCACAAATGAAAAGCTTGCCAGGATGATCTGCCTCTACCATTGTGCTGTAAATGGTAAAAAATTATCTATATTTAGATATAAATAAGCTAAAAAGATAAAATTTTATTACAAACTGTGCTGAAAATCCAAGTAAAATTCCCTTCCTGAGGCTGACATCTTTTTATTACTTCTTACTTTAAATATGTAAAATTTGTAACACTCAGAGCAAAGGGGCACTAACTTCACACACAAATGCTGCATTTTAGTATGAACTGACAGAATCTCATTTCTAAAAATTAGATAAGAAAAGCTATCATAATTTTCCTAAGTTGCAATATGAAGAATGCCTTCATTTAAATAATTTTATTTGAAAACTGTCTATTTATGAGGTACAGTGTGATGTTTTGCATATTTTCTTTCTTGAGATGTGTGTCTCCTGTTGCCAAAGTGCACTGTTCACTGCAGCCTCCTCCACCCAGCCCAACTGATCTTCCCACATCTCAGCTTCCGAAGTTGCTAGTACTACAGGGGCTTTCTACCACAGCTGGGCAATTTTTTGTGTTTTTAAAAATAAACAAGGGTTTCCCCATATTGCCCAAGGTAGTCTCCAAATCCTGGGCTCAAGTGTTCTGCCGGCTTGGGCCTACCAAAGTGATGGGATTTCAAGGGTGAATCACCACACTCAGCATGATATTTGGATAAAAGATTAAATCAAGCTACTTAAAATGTTCTAGGGGGAGAATATTTTAAATATTTTACAATCTTCTAGTGATTTGAAATATACAATAGGTCACAGATTCTAAAACCCTAGCCTTCAACCCGTACCTATCTGTGGCCTGAATGTGATGCCACAGGATGACATGTAATACCTGTTTGTGGAGAATGTAACGCCTGAGGATGACCTGAGGTGGTACAGTTCTATCCAGAAACCATCCTCCCTACTCCCTCGCTGGCCCTCCCTGTCCCCGTGGCAGCCCCACTGCCCCACCTGTCCTCTGTCACATTGCTCCTACCGGAAGACCCGCCCTACCACGTGCCCCTCGGGTACCTGCCGCCAGCCCCCACTCCCAAACCTGTCCACCTCGCCGCCTTCTACCCCTGTGCAACCCTTGTCTGAGGAAAAATTGTCTTTCACTAAACCAGTCCCTGATGCGAAAATACCAATAAAGGAGTCCATTATGTCACCCAGGCTGGTCTCAAACTCCTCACCTCAAGCCATCCTCTGACCTCCACTTCCCAAAATGCTAGGATTACACGAGTAAGTCAGTGTGCCAGGTTAACAGAATAACTTAAGCTCATCTATGTTGTTCCCGTTTTAGGCTATCTAACTCCATTTATCTCGATTACACCCACCGATTATTCGGTTTAAATTATTTACGGTGCCAAAGATACATGAAACATGTTTCAAATACTGTCATACAACGAAGGAGACAATTACAGGCTTTACAGAGGCAAACTGAAACTGAGATTATTTATGGCCCCCATATTTCTACATACACTAAAGTAACACAATTTATGTCAAATTTCATCCAAGCAAATCAGACACGCCACATGTGCTAACTAAAAGTGTGACTTTTTAATCGCAGTGGTTAAGTGTATTGCCTGTATTCTGAATTATGACCACATTCACAGAGAAAACCCGCTTTAATAAAAAGTGCACACGAAAACAGTGGCGCCTTAGCACCATCTCCCACAACTAGTCGGACATATTAGGCAGTTAAATGTAGAATCCTCAGGAAAAATCAATGAGTTTAACGAAAGTGAGTCTCTTAATAGCACTAAGGAGTTCTTTCCCCACTGACTCCTCCCGTAATTCAACACCCACACATAGAAAACCCATCCCCTTTTATAGACAAAATCCCAAACCTTTGCTTTCTATTCTTGCCGAGAGACCCAGCTGTCCAGAGAAACAGAAAATACCTGCGCTTTTTATTAGGACAAAGAGCCTGAGGTTCGCCTGGCCCTCAGGCCGTATGTATCCAGCTTCGGAACACCACAGGGCCAGCTGCGGGAAGGACACCTGGAGCTACCCTGAGAGAGAAGGACGCCAGAAGCCGTGCCCGGAAATCCCGCCTACCTCCAGCGGCCAATCATTGAGAAGGCGGTGGGCGTCAGCCAGTTACTGCGAAGGCTGTGGGTGAGTCCTGAGGCACCCAGCCCCGGCTGGCCTGCAGCTCCATCATCTCGCTGTAACTCTTCTGAGACCCCGCTTGTGCCATGTGGCGGGCGGCGGTGGATTAAGGCACAGGCGAACTGTGAGCCCTTTGGAATTGTGGGCATGGAAGACCTACACACTAACTGGCATCCTGAGTGTGGCAAGACATTAATTAACCCACAGGGAACACATGAAACATCTCACTTCATTAGTCAGGCTAGGCTGATGGTACTGAATATTGCGGATCCAGAGGGGAGAGAGAGGGACCAGCGCTGCTGCAGGGGCGAGGGCAGCAGCGGTGGCTTGGGGGGATTGGGGCAGGGCGGGTGCGTGGGACTAAAGTCGACTGGTACGTTGCTGAGGTGGAATTCATCTGCACCAGAAGCTGAAACCCTGCAAGGATTCTCTCAGGTCTAGGCAAATACATACTCCGAGTTCCATGGTTCCTCCCTGAGGATGCTGTACTCACAGGGGCATTCCAAAGGACTTCTCATCCTGTGCCCTGGGCACACGGGAGGCCTACCGCCATGGTCGCCAATGCAGTGATCCATGTGCACTGCTTTGCTGGTGCAGAGGCCCTCACAAGTGCAGGGGTGGCCGTGGTGCCTGCTAGCGGGGCTCTGGAAGCCAGGGCCTTGGCATCCTACTCCAGGGCTGCTGTGCGCAGCTAACCCTGCTGGGTATCTGAGCCCCATTGTGAGTGTGACAGGCTAAGGGTCCTGTGGGGCTCCCCAGGAACCCTGTTCCACATAGGTGTAGGATGTGGTTCTCAGCAGGGCAAGGCCCGCAGGTCTCTCCTGGAGTTGCCCCCAGAGTCTAGGGGTGCCGGGGGCAGGTGGGGTGGGAGGCACAGGCTTTGCTCTGTTGGAGCCCCAAGGAGGGCACCATGTTAAGGCTGGAGGCTGTGCAGGAGAGGATGGCCTGTGCACAGAGCAGGAAGGCAACCCTGGGGGAAGAGGCATGCTAGTGGGGGATGACATCATTGCAGAGATGGAGGTGGTGGCCAAGGAGGAGGCCAATGTGGAGCCACAGCAGGAGGACCTGCAGGCACAGCCTGGCCCTGGCCCCAGTACGCCCCGGCCAGCAACAGACTCGCTGGACGTCCTTCACTTGGAGCGCAGCTACATGAATGTCCCAGGCTGCAGGGCATCCCCGGCTTCTGGGCCAGAGCCATATCCTTGCAGCTGCCAATTCGGGATGGTTGGCCGCAGGGGATGGGCGCCGAGCTCCTGAGAATGGAGGTGGGGGAAACAACGTGGTAGGCACTGGGGGTCAGCCAGGATTCAGGGCATGGGGGACAACAAGGGGAGCCGAGAACAGACTCATGCAGATAGTAGGGCAGCTTAATTGCATGTGCCCTGAGGGCATGTGGTAGGGACAGGAAGCCAAGCACAGCACTCACAAGGAAGAATAGCAGCGCCAAGGACCCTTCGTAACAGCAGAAAGTTGAAGGATACGTTTCACTGGGAAAGTCCCTTGAGGAAGGGGAGTCTGCATGCCCATGCCAGCAGTGGAACTTCCCTGCTCCCCATGCCTGTGTCCAGCAAGCTCACCCCAGAAACACAAGGTGCTCAAGACTCGGTGTCACTGTGCACGGGGCTGCTGTCCTATGCAAGGCAGGCACTATCTCCCCAGACACAATTTCTTCCCTCTGCCAGCGCGGCACCCAAAGATGTTTAGGCCCTGAGCATATATAACCTCCCTTGAAACCACTCGAGCTCCATGGGGAGAGCCAGGCACAGCCCTGTAGCTACTTCTACGCACAGCAGTTCCATGGGGTGGACACATGCACCCCTCAGGGAGACCAGGAGAAGGAGAGACCACACACCCAGACAGCAGCAGAGCCTGTCCAGCACCCAGCACAGGAGGGCCTCCTGCAGCTCAGAAACACTGAGCAAGTAGTTGCCTCACACAACAACACCCTGCCCGCAACCCCCTGCCAACTTCTTCAGTGCCAGCCCCTGGTCAGAGCAGGTTGTCTGGGCCTGTCTCCACCCACCACCAAGACCACCACAGCTCTGATGGTGCCCTACACGCCAGAGAGAGACAGAGGACCTGGAAGGGAAGGTGCCCTGCCCCACACTCTCCGTGCTCTTGCAAACTTGCAGGGTGTTTCCTTGCACGCCCACCCAATCATCTGGCGGCTCCTTGACCAGAGGCAGATTGTGCAGCACACCCAGATGTTGGCCGGGATCACAAATGATGATGAAGTCCTGCTAAGTTACGTATGTGATGGATTTGCAGGTCAGGCTAAGGAGCCTGAGTCTTCAGGAGGGGTCTGGTGTCTGGGTCAGGTTGAGGTACCCCTGGGATGCGGGGGTGTCTCAATGAGAGAGTTGGGAAGGAGAAACACATGCTTCACCCCAGCTAACAGCTCACCTCACCCCAGCTACGTGAAATGGTCCTTTGAGTACATCCTCTTTCTCCTTCTTGGCCAGGGAAGGGGAGGAACGCAACTATCCCGGGTACCGGAGGCAGGATGAAGTTTTCCCTTTATCACAATCTTTACTTCCACAATGAAGTGATCATTCAAGAGTATTGCTTCGGCATCCTCGGTAAGGAGCACCTCCCTGCATAGTAGGGGAGCTGGTGTGTGGGAGGGTAGGTCTGGCATGAATCTTCCTGACTCTTCTCTCTGCAGGATACAGGATGTCTCATTCCACTGTAGTCTAGTGGTTGTGAGATCATGAAAGTGAAGCCTCCACCTGCAGGTAGTACAGCTCCTACCTGAGCTTCTTCAGCTGGTTGGCTGACCATGACTGCCCAGGTTCTGGCAGGATTGCTGAGGTGAGCGCCAGGTAGGGCATCATGGGAAAGGATCTTGCTGGTCATTCCTTGGCCTCTGGGGAATTGGCTTTGAGCCATGACCTGAACTAACCAGTACCCACTTCTGCAGTCCCCTAGATCATCAGCCAGAGCCTGTAGCTCAATCCCCTGCAGTACTTCTCCAGGGAGGGAGGCCATTAGAGAGTGAACAGAGAGGAGGCCAGGTGAGCAGTCTAGGGCTGGGGACTGAGAGGCCGTTTATTCCTGGAGTTGTGCCCCACATGGAGAATCCAAGCCTCAGGGAGGTGACTGCAGTGAGCAATCCCACGCCATCCATGGGCTGGCGGAGAAATGGCCATCAAAGAACTGTAACACCCACATTTTAGGATTGGGGCACCTTAAGCCGCCTAAGAGGAATAAGTGTCTAAGGTCAATGGGTGAGAAGCAAGACTCAAGTGGTAGCTGTCTCATCATCCCTCACCAGCTGAGGCCTGAGGCCGGCCACCACTTGGGACTCAGTTTGGGCTCAACCAGGGCCCTCTCACCCTCCACGCAGATATCCTCCCAAGGTCCCTATGTCTTCCCTGATGGGCTGTCCCACGCCCATCATTTTTTGTTACAATGATCCCAGGCTTCCCTGAGATGCTTTCTGCTCTCTGCCATCATCACTCACACTTCCCTGCCCCACGCTGCCCCACCAGACAAGAGAGGCCACTACACAGGGAATCTGGAGAACCACACTGGGCTCACAGTATTGTGAATAGGTTAAACCTTGTATAGTATTGTCATTCTCTCTTTCATAAATTTTTGAAGAACTCTGATACTGTTTCCATCCCCCCACCCCTGAGGAGAACATGCAGATAGTTCCAAACAATTGTGGAAGTGAGTGGGTATGAAAACATAATTTGAAGGCCAGGTGGGGTGGCTCACGCCTGTAATCCCCACACTTTGGGGGGCCAAGGCTGGTGGATTACCAGATGTCAGAAGTTCAAGACCAGCCTGGTCAACATGGTGAAACCCCATCTCTACTAAATATTCAAAAATTAGCTGGGCGTGGTGGCAGGTTCCTGTAATCTTAGCTATTTGGTGGGCTGAGGCAGGAGAATCGGTTGAACCCGAGAGGTGGAGGTTGCAGTGAGCCAAGATCACGCCACTGCATTACAGCCTGGGTCACAAGACCAAAGCTTTGTCTCCCCCACCCCACACCCCCCAAAAAAAGCATCAAATTTACATAAACATAATTATCTTAAAAGCCAGCATAATTTTAATTTTATTGTAGTCATTAGTTTCAGACATTGTTTATTTTGGAGAAGTGATTACAGAAACTACAAAAATCAAAGCCTGATGAGAACCTTTAAATTAACCACACTGCACAAGCCCAAAGCTGAAAAACTAAGGTGTTTCTGATATAATAGACCAAATTCTGCATTTCCTCTCTATTGGGCAGCGTAATATTGCACATATGAAAAAAAATGCAGTGTTAAATAAAAAGTAGTGGAATTAAGAGGAGTCATTGCTTAGTGAATTAAAACAACACACAAATTGAGAAGAAAAGACAGTGATAGAAAATATATTGTCTATTGATTTAATTCAGAATAATTTTCATTTTTGTCTATTAGCATTAAATAGTACCATTAACATAATATCATTTTGTATATTGTCTTCTAACATGTAAGTGGTTTTTATTTTGTATATTTGGAAACCTGATCAAAGATTCTTTATACATTTTATTTTTTCCGAAATTTGCTACCTAATAGCTAGCTAAATGCTAGTTGCCTGAATGCCTCTCACTAAGTTGTTTGTCTTTTCCTAATACATTTAATATGAACTTGGTGTGTAGTTTGTTGGCATCTTTACTAAATCTACAGGTGTTGAAGTTGTTCAGATCTCAGTCATGGATCCTCTTGGGTTTTCTCAAGGCTAAAACACCCTTTCTATGCTGACCATTAAGAAATTCTCAACTTCAGGCCAGATCTTTGTTCTACCTTCAGACTTGGCATATCCAACTTCATGCCTTACATCTCCACATACCAAAACCAGACCTTCCTTTCATCCCCAAAACATGTTTCCTCCTACAGTATTCCACTATTTCAGAAATTCACAGCACCAAATACCCTGTATTTCAAGCTAGAAATGTAGAGGATGATTCTTCAGGCAGCCTTTTCTCAATGACTCTTCATCATTTACATCCAACTCTTCACAGGTTGTGTGTCCTCTCTGAGAATTACATAGTCTTAGTAAATGAAGAGTGGCCCGTAAGTAACCTTCAATCGTCCAGTTTTTTTTTCTTCAATTCACGCCAGTTTCTCTACAGAACAGCTGGAGCTCTGCAATGTCAATGTTGGAGTAAGTACCATTCTCTGCCAGTATTACCATTTTATTTATGATGAGATAAATTATCCTTAAAAATGCCCACACAAATCTATACTAAGTAACACAATTAAATTATGTCTTTGTTTTACAGAAAAGTACAAGGCAAATAGAATCAATTGTTATTATATAATCTTTATAACTACACACAAAGGTACTAGATATTTCAGACCCCACTTCATACATCTGAAATTTGACTCTCAAAGTCATTAACTCCTCTTAAAGTCTAATTTCAGATTGCAAAACTACCTCTTTCCACAATATTGTGCTATCTGCCTTTAAGAACCAGCTGGGGAATCATTAAGAATAAAAAATATAATTTTCTTCAACATCTCCTAGCTGAGCCAAAATCTAAATTTTCTGTGGAGATGTTGGTGTGCACAATTTTGCCAAAACTTTTACAACTTTAACCACAGCCATGCTTCTGTGGCCTACCTGTTCATCCAATACCTGCACGCATGCTTTAACATAGAAAAATTTGAAAGTTAATACGAGTATTAACTCTTATCATTATAGACAATGACATCTGAAGACGCTTTCCAATCTTCCTTGAGTATATAATATCCAAAATGTCAGTACAGTCTCCAAAATGTCAATGTAATCTTAGTAGCAGTGGTTCATTACAGAAGATAATTTTGCCACAGTGGTCAAATATTTTTGTTAAATACTGCTATTTTATAGCCATACATAGCATTAACTGACCCATGTTGTATAGCTAGAAAAATGATCCTAAAGAAAATGTTCAGAAATAGGTTTCATATATTTTGCTAAATTGCAAACTAACAGGTTAATCGCTACCGTGAAGTGCTAGACAGTTGGAGTAGTATTTACCAAGAATGAAAAAGAAGATAGGGCCATATGAATTGAGAAGGCTGCCGTTATGAAAAGATATCATATTTATTCCTGACTCCTGGCTTGATATTCTTTGTGTGGGGCTTATTTTTTTTTATGGTTGTTGTTCTGTTTTTGGTTTTTTGTTGTTGTTTTACTTTCTCTTATGTGTCAGATCAGAGTTTCACAAACATCCTCAAATAATTACATGGGTCATAAATAAAACATATACCCAGAAACTTATAGCTATTTTACTTCAAAATCCTGGTTCAATCACCTGGAATGAGACCTGGAGAACCAGTAATTCTCACAAGTATGCTAAGTGATTATTACCAAAATGACAATTGTGAAATATTTAGACAATCATCCAGGAGCTAGGTAATCAACATTTAATAATTGGTTCTTACTGTAAGGGTAAAGGATTTTGTTGAAATGACTATTTAAATGCAAGTTTTATTAAAAAGATAGAAGTGAGCACTTCAGTGCTTTCTAATTAGTGTCTTTAAAGTATGTTTTGCTAAAATGGCAAAATAATTTTTTCATCTGAAGTTAGCATTATGGCCTCAAATGACTTCTGAGTTAGCTTTTGGAAAATCTTCAGATGATAAATTCTAAAAACTATCTTGGGTGTTTGTAAAACTTCAGAACATCACTAGGAAGAATATAAATAAAATTACCACTATGCAAAATAATCAAAATAACTCATACAAATGTACAGGAAAAAATATATACAATCTAGCCCAGTAGAAGAAAGCAGTACAGGTAAATAATTAGATCCTTTTTAGAAAAGAGGAAAGTCAACTGACCAACGAAAAATGGCTAGATGCTTGAACTCATTAGTAATCTGGGGATATAAATCAAAACCACATTAGGTTCCAACTTTTGTTCATTAGCTTGTCAACTATTAAAATAATAATTACTGAGTGTAGTCAAGAATGTAAGGAATGATAATTTTTCCCATCAATCCACAGGACTATCTAATCATATTTAGTAAAATTAGGGTGACTAAAACCTTTATTGATCCAATGGAAACTTTTTTAGGATAAAAGAGTACGAACATATACAAAACCATTTATTATTTAATATATTATTTCCTTACAGGCAAATTGTTTTTACTGTATGGTTGGATCTATAAAACAGTTACCTTCCAAATATTTTTGAAAATGAAATACCTTGAAAAATTTAAAACCACAATAGTATATCTTGAAGCAAAAGAGAAAAATAACTTCTTTAAATTTATTGTTTAAACATTAGAAATAGTAGGCAGAATAACGATTCTGAACATATTTATATGAATTAATGTGTTTCTTAACAATAATTATACATAGTTCTTTTCTAGAAAATGCATTTCTTTTAATGTTATATTGATTTTTAAATAAAGTTACTTGCAAGCTTTTCCAAAGTTGCTTCTTGTTGTCACCAATAAAAGTTATCACCAATGTTTAGCTTTTTAACTGAACATTAAAAATCATTTATCACACATTGTTCAATGTTTTATTTCTGGCACAATAAATTTCAAAAGCTTTATTTTGTTTGCAATGATTGATTAAAAATTCAAACTGTTTTTTAATGTAATTTTCTATTTGAAACATCTAAATGGCATTATTCAATTCTTTTGGAATTTCTTCTGTAGCTAATGGAGCTAACATACTAACAATTACTGATGCATATTTCTTAAGTGCAGAAAAATTAGAATTAAAATGTACACAATTGATTTTTTAAAATAGTAATATAATATAAATAAAAAGCCAGGCATCTCAGAATTATATGCTTAATTTTTCCAAATTCACACACTAAACCTGTGAAAATGTCATCTTCAGGCATAGTTTTCTTAATGTAACTAATTATTATGTTATGAAATAGCAGCTGCTTTTTCCCCTCAGCCATCTGTATTCTGGATTTCAGGATATCACTTTTAGCCTGTGATCCCAACATGGACTACATGGGATCACAGGCTACCCCATGGGTATCATGACTACCCCATGTGTTTACTGGCACTCTTTAAACCATAATTTGATTGAACGGGAAACTGAGTAGTTTTCAATTAAGTACCTACTTGCATTTTTAGGCCATTGCTGATGAAACAGATTTTTTTAAATAGTCATTAGCAAATAGCCCATAAATAGGTAGTTATAAGAATATAACAGATGACAAAACGACTGTGGCCAGACAAATCAACTACTGTCTGTCACCTAAGCTTCTATTTCCAACACATAATTTACATATATCTAGCCTATTATTTCCTTCCTTTTCCCCAGACCTACCATTTCCACAAGGGGCAAATAAGAAAAAGAATTTAACACCCCCCATATAAAGTACAAACAGTAATCTGAAAAGAACCACAAGGGAAAAAAATTCAAAATTTACAACTATCTACCCTAAAAGAAGCTGAAAGTCCCTCAAAAACTTTCTAGAGGCCATGTCCTTCTATTACAAAAATGATCATAAGAACTGCAGGAGTAGAAGAATAAAAATGCATCTTAAAACTTGCTAAACACTTCAAGTCTCCCATAAGAATTGTAATGGAAAATGGATCAGTCAGCAGTTTTTTCCATACAATTATGAACGAATTATATTTCCTCATACACAGATTTGTTTTTTCAATATTCTAAGGAATTAACTTTTATACTAATAGTAGGTGATGTAAGAAAGCAGGCCTTTATCAAGATAACTGACACTGGATGTCCATACCATTACTCAGGTGGGCCTTAATTCCCAGCCGGGTTCCCTCCCTGGACACACACTGAAGGTCCCCAGCCATTTGGCAATCTCTTCACATTCCCAGCCCTGGAGGTAGCCCTAAAATACATGTACCTGAAGAAAATAAAACATTGCCTCACACTGGAGCCCAGTGTGGTCCTCCAGATTCCGTGTGAGGTGGACTAACTTATATGGGAAGGCAGGGCAGCGGGAGTGAGGATGGCAGAGAGGATTACACATGTCAAGGCAGCCGGGGTCATGGAAACAAAACATGACTGGCCTGGGAGAAACACTGTGAAAGGACACAGACCTAGGTGGGCCTCAGGTGGACATCCTCGTGGAGAAAAAGGGGGCCCTGGTTGATCTCAAAATGAGCCCCAGGTGGTAGCAGGTCTTACCGCAGGGCAGGGAGCTGGCGAATGATAATGAGACAGCTATCCCTTTAGCCCTGCTTGTCACCCACTGACTTTAGCCACATATGCATCATAGTGGCTTAAGGGGCCCCGATCGTGAAATGTGGGTGTTACATGTCCCTGATGGGTCTCTCTCCCCCAACCCATGGATTGTCTGGGATTGCTCACTGCAGTCTCCTCCAGGATCCTTGGGTTCTCCATGTGTGGCCCAGATCCAGGTCAAAAGGCCTCTCAGTTCCCAGCGCTTCCCAGCCCTGGGCTGCTCGACTGGCCTCCTCTCTGTTACGCCTCTAAGGCTGACCCAGTCCCCATGGGATAGAAATGCAATGGATTGAGCCATAGGCCCTGGCTCATGATCTAGGGGACTGCAGAAGTGGGTCCAGGACAGTTCAGGTGACAGTTTAAAGCCAATTCCCCAGAGACCAAGGAATGACCAGCTAGGTCCTTTCCCATGATGCCCCACGGCAAACACCACCTCCGAACTCGTGCCAAAACCCAGGCAGTCATGTTCAGCCAAACAGCTGAATAAGCTCAGGTAGGAGGTGTACTGCCTGCAGCTGGAGGCTTAACCTTCGTGAACCCAGAACCGCTGGACTGCAGTGGAATGAGACACCCTGTAGCCTGCAGGGAGAGGAGTCAGGAAGGTTCATGCCAGTTCCACCCTCCCACACACCAGCTCTCCTACCATGCTGGGAGGCATTCCTTACCGAGGATGCCAACACAGTGCTCCTTCATGATGATTTCACTGTGGAAATAAAGGTTGGGATGAAAGGAAATCATCCTGCCACCGGTAACCGGGATGGCTGTGTTCCTCCACCTGCCGGATCAAGGAGAAAGAGGATGGATTCAATGGGACCATCTCAACTAGCTGGGCTGAGGTGGCCTACTTGCTGTAGTGAGCCATGAGTTTCCCTTTCCCAGCTCTGCCACTGAGACGACCCTGGTCCCAGGGGGACCTCAAACTGACTCAGACACTGGACTCCTCCCACAGACCCAGGCTCCCCAGCCTGACCTGCAAATCCATCACGTAGCAAAGCAGGACTTCCGCATGCTTTCTGACCCACGCCGACATCTCGTGTGCCAAACAATCTACCTCTGCGCAAGAACTCTCCAGAGGATTGGGTGGGCAAGCCTCGTGACGCCTTGCAATTTCGCAAGAACACAGACAATGTGGAACAGGGCCATCTCCCAGACATTTGGCCAGTCACCCTTCATTGTTGGCCCTCTATCTCTGTCTGGGGAGGAGGCAACGCCACAACTGTGGTGGTTTTTGGAGTGGGTGGACCCCGGCCAAGACGGCCTGGGCTGACCAGAGACCGGAGGCAGAAAAAGTGGGCAGGTGGTTGCAGCTGAGGGACGGGAGGGGCGGGGGGTGGTGTGAGGCGGCTGCTTCTCTGGGTTTCTGAGATGCAGGAGGCCTTTGTGTGCTGGGTGCTGGACATGCTCCGCTGATGTCCGGGTGTGTGGTGTCCTC
The DNA here is from genome assembly GCF_000001405.40 of Homo sapiens. Classification (NCBI taxonomy): domain Eukaryota; kingdom Metazoa; phylum Chordata; class Mammalia; order Primates; family Hominidae; genus Homo; species Homo sapiens. The sequence goes on from NC_000024.10 coordinate 9,335,518, forward strand.
TTATCCTAGTCTCCCTGAGGGGTGGGCCTGTCCACCTGAGGGAAGCCTTGTAGTTAGAAGCCACAGCAGGGTCGTGCCTGGCGCTCTCCAAGGGAATTGCGTGGGTCCAGAGGAAGTTATACAGGCTCAGGGCCTACACCCCTTTGAGTGCAGCGCCTGCAGTTGGAAGAATGCGCATCTGCGGAGCTGGTGCCCGCCGTCAGGTGGTCGGCAGCCCCATGCGCCGCGAACCCGTCTTAAGCACCTTGTGTTTCTGGGGTGAGCCTGCTGGAAACAGGCACCGAGAGCAGGGGTGGTTCAATGGCTGGTAATGGCATACAGATTCCCCGTCCTCCAGGGACGTTCCCAGGGAAACGTGTCCTTCGAATTTGGGCTGTGCGCAAAGGGACCTTGGCGCCGCGATTCTCCCTTGTCAGTGCTGGCCCTGGCTCCCCTTCCCTACCACGTGCTCCCAGGGCTGCTACAAGCGAGCTGCCCTCACAGCTGCGGGAACGTGGCCTCGGCTCCCACGCTGTCCCCCATCCCCTGCCTCCTGGCTGACCCCACGCGCCTCCCACCTGGCTCCTCCCCCCAAACAGCCCCCATACCCCCCGAGGCCCGATGACTATCCCCTGCTGCCCGCCATCCCAAATCGGCAGCCGCAAGGATATGGCTCTGGCTCACAAGGCGGAGATGCTCTGTGGCCTGGGGCATTCACGGAGCCCAGCTCCAAGTGAAGGACCTCCAGCGAGTCCATTGACGGCCCCGGTGTGCTCGGTCCAGGGCCAGGCTGTGCCCGCTGGCCCTCCTTCTGCCACCCCACGTCGGGCTCCACCTCAACCACCACCTCCACCTCAGCCATGATGTCTTCCACCTTCAGCACCGCCTCCTCTTCCAAGGCCGCCTCCTTGCTCTGTACCCCGGCCGTCCTCTCCAGCATTGCCTCCAGCCTGAACACGGTTTTCTCCTGGGTGCTCCCACAGACCCTGGGCCTGCGCAGCCCAGCCCAGCCCAGCCCATGCCCCGCACCCGTAGGCTCTGGGGGCCCGCTCCCCAGCAGACCCGCTCCCTGCAAGACCCACGGGCGTCGCCCTGCTGTGAACCTGGTCCCACACCTACGTGGACCCAGGTTTCCTGAGGAGCTCCGCTGGACCCGCAGATCCCGCACTGGCCAAAGGGCTCCGGTCCCCAGCAGGCTCAACTGCGCACAGGAGCTCGGGAGCCAGAGGCCCCGGCCCTGGGCTTGCAGAGCCCCACCAACAGGCACCGCAACCGCTGCTGCGGGTGCGGGAGCCTCTGGGTCGTCAAGGCAGCGCACAACAGCGTGCGCGCAGGCCGACAATGGCCAACCCTGGCGGCTGGCCTCTGGTGTGCCCAGGGCATAGGACAAGAGGCCCTTTGGAATGCTCCTTGGAGTACAGCATCCTCAGGGAGGAAGCATGGTACTCGGAGCCTCTATTTGCCTCGACCTGTGAGAGTGTGTGCCGGGGCTCTGGCCTCTACAGCAGATCAATTCCACCTCAGCACCGGCAGGCGACTTTCCTCCCACGTGCCCGCCCCGATCACTTCCCCCAGGACACCCCTGCCGCCCTAGCCCCAGCAACCAGAGAGAGTTCTCTGCATCTGCTGTATTACCTCCGTACCATCTACCTGGCCTGCCTAACGAAGAGAGATGTTTCCTGTGTTCATGACACATAGAGATGTTCATGGCTTGCCACACTGAGGATGTCAGGGCACAGGGCTGCCATGCCCACAATTCCAAAGGCCACGCAGCCCGCGTGTGCCCGGATGCCTAGCTACCCGGCACAAGCTCCAAGGGCTTCTCGGAGGAGGCTTGGGCAGGGAAGGCGGGGGTTGGGGGGGCTGGAGATGCAGGCCCGCCAGTGGCTGTGCCGCCCAGGGAGACGCCCACCGCCCTCCCATTGACTGGCCACGACGGGAGGAAGTCGGCCTGGGTGCGGCCCCCCGGCCCTTCGCGCGCAGTCCCTTAGGGGGCGCCTGGAAGCCCGGCGCATGCGCCCTGAGGGCTCGCTGACCTACCGGGTGCCAGAGAGGCTGCGGCAGGGTTTCTGTGGCGTGGGTCGGGCAGCACAGGCCTTGGTGTGTGCGAGTGCCAAGGAGGGCACCGCCTTCAGGATGGAGGCTGTACAGGAGGGGGCGGCCGGGGTGGAGAGTGAGCAGGCGGCTTTGGGGGAGGAGGCGGTGCTGCTGTTGGATGACATAATGGCGGAGGTGGAGGTGGTGGCGGAGGTGGAGGTGGTGGCGGAGGAGGAGGGCCTCGTGGAGCGGCGGGAGGAGGCCCAGCGGGCACAGCAGGCTGTGCCTGGCCCTGGGCCCATGACCCCAGAGTCTGCACTGGAGGAGCTGCTGGCCGTTCAGGTGGAGCTGGAGCCGGTTAATGCCCAAGCCAGGAAGGCCTTTTCTCGGCAGCGGGAAAAGATGGAGCGGAGGCGCAAGCCCCACCTAGACCGCAGAGGCGCCGTCATCCAGAGCGTCCCTGGCTTCTGGGCCAATGTTGTATCCTTCTCAGTGTTTCTTCGGCCTTTCTAGTGGAGAGGTGCTCTCGGGGAAGTGTAAGTGACCGATGGGCAGCTCGGCGTCGATGTGACTCTTTGGGGAACAAAGGGGAGTTGCCACGGACCAGTGTGGCTGTGGAAAGCCGGAGCAGGCGTGGGTACTATTGTCCTGCATGCGGCAGAGAAACCCTTGGTGATGCCGAGCAGCAGACGTTTGGGGCATCTTTTTGAAGAGCAGAAGCGAGTTCAGAGCGGAAGAGGTTTTTCAGTGAATGAAGCTATTTTTAAGGGAGTGTGATTGCTGCCCCTTGCTAGTCCGATCTGGGACTGGGCGTCTTCGGCTATAAGCAGATTCTGCCACTCCTCAGACACCAGCAAGTCTCTGCAAATCGCGCCTCCCCATGTCAGTGCAGTCAGCCTCAGAATCATACACCCTCTGTGAACACAGGAGGCCTTAGTTTACGGGGAGGGGGAGGCGAAAGGAGATCATACATGGAAGCAGATCTGAGAAATCCCCTACCCCAGCCTCTGGGTGCTCTTAGGCCTTCTTCCCTGTTGCTCCTCGCTTTCCCTTCCATCGTGTGTAAAGTCTCTTTGACCTAAATCAGATTGCAAACCACCCCCAGATGTCAGCCCTGATCACTGACGAAGATGAAGACATGCTGAGCTACATGGTCAGCCTGGAGGTGAGGCCAGGAAGACTGGGGCTAGAGGGTTTAGCGGGGGAGGGTAAGGGAAATAATTCATTCCTGTAAGCAAGAGTGAGCACCTCACCCGAAAACCTATCTAAGCTTTCTCCACCTTGTCCTGACAGGTGGAAGAAGAGAAGCATCCTGTTCATCTCTGCAAGATCATGTTGTTCTTTCGGAGTAACCCCTACTTCCAGAATAAAGTGATTACCAAGGAATATCTGGTGAACATCACAGGTGACAGGTGGCTCCCAGGATGGGTAGTGGAAGGAAGATGGTGGGTGGATCATTGCCAACGGGATCCAGCCCCCTTCCCACAAAAACTCCTGTCTCTGTAGAATACAGGGCTTCTCATTCCACTCCAATTGAGTGGTATCCGGATTATGAAGTGGAGGCCTATCGCCGCAGACACCACAACAGCAGCCTTAACTTCTTCAACTGGTTCTCTGACCACAACTTCGCAGGATCTAACAAGATTGCTGAGGTGAGTCCTCACTGGGAAACATGAGGAATGACCCCATGTGTTCCCAGCTGCTTGGGTCACCTTTCTGAGCCCTGATGAGGCCTTTCCCGATTGAGTCCCCTGACAGATCCTATGTAAGGACCTGTGGCGCAATCCCCTGCAATACTACAAGAGGATGAAGCCACCTGAAGAGGGAACAGAGACGTCAGGTGAGCCGTTAGTTGGCACTGGAGCTGTTTGATGCCCAGTATAAGGGGGTTGACACACCTGCCTATTCAGGGAGCCTGGGTGCTCATTTCAGAAATGTAGAAATTGAGGCTCCTTTCGTACATGTAGAAATTCCTTGAGAGGAAGACAGAGAGTGACAGAATCCAGGACGTTCATGGCATTGGGCTGAAAAGGCACGTTAGAGACTGCACTGCAAAGCGGGTGATAGCTGTGGAGTCTTAAGCCCAGTGAAGAATCGTCCATTTCCAGAATCAATGAGAAGTAAAGCTGAAAATCATTCAGTTCAGTCTGTGGCACTTGATTCCACGGCTGTCAACCCCACCGGCAGTCATCCCGCCAACCCCATGAGATTGGGCTCCCTGAATGTGCGTCCTGGTCATCCTTGCCCCAAACCACAAAGGACTGTTTAGATTGATGGATTTCCTTAAGCTGTTGCCCCATCAGACTTGTGTGTGCTTTTAGGGTCCAGTGCATCTTGTTAGCTGACTCCCCTCACAGACAATACTGGGAATGGGGCAGGGATTGCGCAGAACAGTTTGTAACACGTGGTAGGAGGAAGTTTAAGGGATCACAAATGGGGAAGGGATATCCTTTTCTCAGCGGGCCCCACAATTGAAACATTTCAAAGTATGGCTCAGAGAAAATGCGTTTTAACATGAGTTTGTGTTTCTCTAGGGGACTCCCAGTTGTTGAGTTGAATATGATGGAGCATCAGATTTTACCTAATACAGCAGAACTCCTAAAAAGTTACAGCCATATGCAGGACGGCAGTACTCAGCATGGTCTTATGCACAGGAACTAAAGGAAAAAGAGATCGAGTCACAAAAATTCAGGAAGAGGGGGTAAATGTGGATTGTATGGAATGAAAAATAAACATTCTCAAGGATGTGTGACTCTGTGTCTGTGTGTGTGTGTGTGTCTTTGTGTTTGTGTGTGTGTGTGTGTGTGTGTGTGTGTGTATGTTTATCCACTTTATTCGGGTGTCATAATGAATTGATCAATCCACGTGCTTTATTCTCTTCATGGAAATAACCAGTCTGCGTTGGAGCTGGGCCTCTAAAGTTGTAGAGTGAATGGGTGTGGGATGTGTTGGGATTCTTCCTACAGGACAGAGTGGGAGAGGTAAAAGCAAAAGACAGCTTAGTTGGAGGCTGACTTCGTCCTATGGAAGCAGAGATAGTTCAAGGAAAGGGGTTACTGGGTTTCCAGGGCCCAGTTTGCTGGGACCTCCAAAATCCTTCATTTTGGGTATCATCATACACAGTAGCTAAGCACAGGATGATGGAAATCTTAAAGTTCGCTTTCGTGTTGAATCCACATGTTCTTTTAAAGGTGAATGCATGATCCTTTTCTGGGACAATCAGCCTCTCAGGACTTCTGAAACATCAACGTGAGAAGAAATGGGCATGTAAGGTGTATGGAGGGACTGTGGGAAAGGTGACAGAGGCATGTGGGAAGGCATTCAGGATACGCTTTTGGCAGACATGACTAAGGGAAAACAGAAACTTACAGAAGTGAGGGGAAAGGGGGTGGATTAGTGGAATATAAGATTGTTGGAGAATCCATCCATGGACTCTCTTGTCACTTGATGACCCAGGATATGGACACTCTTGTTGATGTTTACATCTTTAGTTGTTTTAAGCTTTTCTCCAAGATTCTGTGTTAGGTGAGGAGCCAATAACGTATGTAGCTAACAACAGTACGAGTGCATTTTGTGCTCTTGCAAAGTCTAGTGAGGCTCTATTCTCCCTCGTGATTGGCACTGCAGATTGTATCTGGACCCAGGGCCCCTAAATTTTCTGTGGCCTCTTCAGCATAGTTTGCCTAAGGTTTAGAACGTAAAGTGAATATAGTTGCGGAATATGTTTTGCAAGCCTCACACAGGAGGACAAAACATACAGCTTTCATTCGCGAGTGGGAGGCTGCTTCCCAGGAACACGTGTGTCTGCACAAGACAAGGGGTTGCCTCTGTCAAGGATGGGGCAGGAGGATTTCAGTGTCGGAGGCAGAACTTTCTTTCCTGTTCCCAGATGAAACAGTTCCAACACGAGCATCCATGTTGACCACACGCTACTAGAGTGCTAACATTGCTGTCCCGTATAGACTCCAGTCAGCACAGCTTCTGTGAGAAGAGCTATGTTGTTTCAGGGAAGAGGGTTTGACAGTCAAAGTTCCTGAATCTGTTGTGGTGCCTGCAATATGCATTCTACACCTCCTGCTCGGTGTCAAAGCAGTTGAGCTTTGAAAATCTATCGCCCGGTTTTGTCCCTGCTCCTATGCAGACCTCTGAAGCTCTGGAGCGGGAGTCTTGTCCTCCTCTGACTACCGTCCCCCTGACCCACAAACACAGGAGAAACAGGTGTTCTAAGCAAATTATTCTGAAAACAGTCGGAACACTTTGGCCCCCTCAAGCTGCCCTCTATCCTACTGTGTGCATGTCAAAGACACTGTGGTCCAGTACGGTATCCCTATAGCGGCAATGGGGCAACAGATTGGTGTGTGCACTCTGGGCAACTCAGATTAGGAAACGTCTGGGGACTTGCCTATAACGAGGTCGTCTTAAAACGTGTTGCCCCAAATTTAAGGCATAGGAAAATGTTGAGGAAAGGGTCTTGCAATGATTTTTCTAGGAGGTAAATAGATAAGAAAATGACCGTAAATAGATGCCAGGGCTAGTTTTGGAGCTAGCCTTTTTTAAAGTGGTGGTAGGGGAGGAGGTTTTTCCAAGGCAGGTAGCAAACCAGGAGCTGTCTACGATGGATGGGCGTGCCATGGGTTGGTGGCTCAGCCATATTGCCACCCCACGGAGTCGATGCAGCAGACTGGGCTTCTTGCTTGAATCCTACGTGCAATTCAGTCTAGTGATTTCACATGAGATCCCTTCTTCTGGTATTATCACAGATCGTGCTGAATTATACAGGCTGTGTAATGCTTCTTCCACTGAATATCCGTGCACGTGGGCCACAGATGCTAAGGGCACTGACAAATTTGCACCGTGCCTCAGTAACTCGGAAGCACATCTGTGATTTGTACCGACAGGGACTTGGTGTCTTTTCGTGTTTAAAGTAGCACGTGTGTGTTTGTGGTTGCGTATGTTTATTTCTCTGTGCGGGTTTGTATATTTTCTCTGACTCCACCTATGTCTCCGTGGTTCCGATATTTTTCCACACTCCCTGCGGCAATTTGCACATGCCTATCTCTACAACCATTGTAGACTTTGTATCTGTGTCTTTGAACATCTGTCACTCTCTCTCCCTTCCTTTTTTCTTTTCCTTCCTTTACACCCCTCCTTTCATCCTTCCCTTGCTTCCCCACCACACTCTCTCCATCTGTATCGTCTATGTTTCTATTCTCTATCTGGGTTTACTTTCTAATTCTGAATTCAAGGGCATTGAATTGAAAAGAAGCACTCTTCGTACTTTTATGTGTTTTAACTCATTTGGGGAATTTGGCGTGGTATTATTTACAGGGTTCTCTCTGCCCTTTCTCATTGTTCTCCCCAGCCGGGGCTGTTATTATGTGAAAGCTGGTTTCCTTCATCACATCGCGTAGGCTCTAATGATGTTTCGTTTATTTTGATTCTCCTCACACTACATAGTTTTAATTTACCTAATGTGACTGTTTTTTTGTTTGTTTTCCGAGAATGGGTCTTACTCTGTCTTCTAGGTTGGACAGCAGCCCCACGATCTCAGCCCACTGCAGCCCAGGCACCACACACCCATGTGATCCTGTCAACTCAGACTCTCACACACCTGGCAGTACAGGTGCATGCCACCCCTCCAAGCTATGTATTAATTAACTAAATACTTACTTTTTGAATGTGGGTCCATGTTGCCCCAGGCTCATCTGGAACTCCTGAGTGCAGGCAATCCTCCCACCTCAGCTTATCAAAGTGCTGGGATGACAGGTGTGACCCATGGCCCTGCCATGGCTTTGTGTTTTTTGCTTTTTTCTTCCTCCTCCTCACGTCTTGTTTTGAAACATGCACTGAAGGTTTCAATTCATGGACTATAGCCTCTGTGCCTGGAATTTCTATCTTTCAACTCATCATCAGCATTCATTGGGATTTTCATATATATATATATATATATATATATATACATACCTATATAAGAATACCTATGTACACACATATATACGTATATACATGTATATACGTATATATGCACATTTATATACGTATATACATGTATATACGTATATATATACATGTACACATATGTATTTATTTCTCAAGTTACGAAACGGCTTGCATTCTTTCCTGTGTCATGAAAAAGACTTTGCTAGAAAAGAAAAGCACTGCTTTATAATAAAATATTTTATTTGCATTTATTTTGTTAAGGCATTTTAAAAATTGTATGTTTGTTTAAAAAATGTCATATGAAATGATACATATTTACAACTTAAGGCGTGATGTTCAACAGGTCATATACATTATGCATTGGATACATCCAGCCAATCAACATATGTGTGACCTCACATAGTTGTCATTTTTGTTGTGAAAAAACTTGACCTGCACTGTATTCGAATATTTTTAGAGAAAGAATATGTTACCACTAGTTATAGTGAGCATGCTGAAGAAAATATTTTAACCTATTCCTCCTTTATAACTAGAAGTATGAGTTCTTCATCCAGCATCTCGTCAGTGCACCCTCTTCACCGCAGTCATTGGAGTCACTACTTCTGTGAAGTCCGCTTTTTTGATTTCATATAAGAATGAGATCATGTGCTATTTTCCTTTCTGATACCTGGCTTATGTCACTTAACAGAATGGCATGCACACATTCAGCAGATTCCCACACATTCTCACAACTGGCAGGATTTCCTGATTTCTTATTGCAGCGCATATTTCCGTTGCGCATATGCGTTTTTGCCCCATTTTTTAATCCACTTATCAATGGAGGGACACTCAGGTTGCTTCCGCATTTTGGCTACAGCAAAAATGTAATGAGTGCAGCAATAATTGCATGGGTGCGCGCACCGCTTCAACATACTGATCTGTGTACTGGCGGGCGTGCCCGGGTATTCTGATTTGCTGGATCATATAGTGGGTGGTTCTACTTGTAGATTTCTGAAGGCTGTTTATACTTAAATAAGAGCCATAAAGCTTCTTTAATGCCAGCACTAATTTACATTCTCCCCAAAAGTGAGCAGGGAATTCGTTTTCTCTGCCTCCTCACCAGAGATTAGGGTTTTCTTTTCTTTCTTTTTTTTTTTTTGTTTGTTTGTCTTTCGGATAATATGCATTCTGACTGAAGTGAGAAGAAATCTCATTGTGTTTTTGATTTGCATTTTCGTGATGGATTGGGGATAATGAGGAATTTTTAGTGTGTCTTCTGGGCAACTGTATGTCTCAGTTTCACAAATGAGTCTTCGCAGCCTTCGCCCATTTGTTTTCATGCTATTGAGTTGTTGGGAGTTCCTTATGTACTGTGACTATTCCCCCATGAACAGATGTATGGTGATCCAATCATTGCTCCCATCCTGTAGGATGCCCCTTCTGTATGTTGAGTTTTCTATGGTGTGGTGAAGCACTTTAGTTTGATATGATTCCATTCTCTATTTTTGATGGTGTTTACTGTGTTCTTGCAGTCACTTTGAGACCATCATTGCACACACGGACGCCATGGAGCTTCTTCCTTGTGATCTCTTCTGCTATTTTTATCGTTTCACATCTGACACTGGAGTTTGGTGATAAATAATCCACTTGTAAAATCCTTTGTGTGGCTATTCAGATTTCCCCAACCTAGTTTATAGAAGATACTTGATTTTGCATTGGGCGTTCTTGCTTCTTTGGGAAAAGGCTGTGAGCTGCAAATGCAGTGACTTAGTTCTGGGCTCCTGTTGTTTTTCCTAAGCTCTAGTCTCTGCTTTTCTGCCAGTGCTATTGTATTTTGGTACAAAAAGTTTTGTAGTAGTATATCATGAAGTTAGGTAGTGTGGTGGCTCCAGCTTTGTGCTTTTTACTGGATTGCTCTGGGTTTTCAGGATCTTCTGCCATTTCATAGCAAATTTGGGATTCCCAGATTGTTTTTCTAAGAAGAATGTGTCATTGATATTTTTACAGGGGTTGTATAGAATCTGAGGATGACTCAGGTAGTAGTGATGTCAATGCCGTTTAGACAATGTGCGTGTTTGTGTGCACAAGCTCAGGGCCAAGAGACACTGGGTGTCCTCACCAATACTGAGGTGGGCCTTAATATCCAGCCAGATTGCCTTCTGGAAACACACGGAATGTCCTGTTCTGTTTTGCCATCTCTTCACATTTCCTCCCCTGTGAGCCCTGTGTGGTCCTCCAGATTCCCTGTGCGGTGGCCTGCCTTTTTTGGGGTGGGGAGTTGCTGGGTGAATGAGGATGGCGGAGGGAACCAAGCATGTCAGTGGAGCGTGGTGTCATCCAAACGGTACTTAGCAGGCCTGGGAGAGTCATTCTGGGAGGACGCAGACCTAGAGAGGCCTCAGGTGGGCATCTGTGTGGAGGGTGAGAGATCCCTGGTTGAGCCCAAACTGAACCCCAGGTAGAAGCAAGCCTCAGGACAGGGAAGTAGCTAGCAAGGGATGATGAGGCAGCTATCTCTTGACCCTGGCTTCCCACCCATTGACCTTAGCTACTTATGCCTATTAAGCAGATTACGGTTCCCCCATCGTGAAATGTGGGTACCACCGTTCCCTAATGGGCATTTCTCCACCAGCCCATGATGGCCTGAGTTTCCTTACTGCAGTCTCCTCCCTGAGCCTTGGCTTCTCTATGTGTGTCCTAACTCCAGGACCCACAGGCCTGTCAACCCCCAGCCCTGGGCTGCTTCCCTGGCCTCTTCTCTGTTCCCTCTCTGAGGGCCTAACTCCCTTGGGTAGTGCTGCAGAATATAGAGCCACAGGCCCTGGCTGATGATCTGGTGGACTGGGCAAATTGGTCGTGACAGGTCAGGTTCTGGTTCAAAGCCAATTCCTCCGATGCCAAGGAATGTCGAAGAAGGTCCTTTGCCATGATGCCCCATAGCTGCCCCACCTCAGCAATCGTGCCGTAACCTGGGCCCTCACAGTCAGACAACCAGCTGAAGAAGCTCAGGCAGTGACCTGCGGGAAACTCGGGCTTTCACCTGCATGACCCTAGAACCACTGGACTGCAGTGGAGCCAGTCACCCTGTATCCTGGAGGGAGACGAGTCAGGAAGGCGCACGCCAGGCCCAGCTCCCGAGGTACTACCCCCTCTACTCCTCAGGGAGGATGCCAATGCAATACTCCTTAGTCATCACTTTGTTTCCGAAGTAAATGTTGTGATGAAAGGCAAACTTCTTCCTACCCCTTGTATTCAGGGTGGCCGAGTTCCTCCACCTGCCTGTCCAAGAAGGAGAAACAGGGCTGTGAAGGGGCAATTTCATCTAGGTGGGCTGAGGTGGCATTCTAGCCGGGGTGAAGCATGCGTTTCCCCTTCCCAGCTTTCCCGCTGAGACACACCTGAGCCCCAGAAGGACCTCAACCTGACCAGGACCTTAGCGCCCTCCCCCAGACCCAGGCTTTCCATCCTGACCTGCAAATCCAACATGCAGCTTTGAAGGACTTTCTCATGGTTTCTGAGCTCCTTGCTCTCACCAGAAAGAATCAGAACTTTTAAAGTGTTCTTTATGCCAACTTAAATTTTTTCATTTTTACTACCTCATGTTTTGGATGAGGCATGTATTTTTAAATTTATTTTCACCCTTATTGTACCTCTATGATAAACTGCTTGCTTACATTCATACCGTAATTATCTCTCAGGTTACTTGTCTGTTCCTAAAGATTCACTGAAACGAAGAATTCTATATATGCTTGTATCTTTCAGCAACCGTATGTCAGATAGCACTGCACATTACTGCAGACATCGCATATACAGGTCCAAAGGTAGAGGAAGAAGAAGAAAGCAAGCGTTAAACTCTATTCATTCCTAAAAGCATATCAGAAACTCACAAATAACAGTGAAATCAAAGAATGATCACAGCCAATTCCATTACATACCTAGACTGAAATACGAAACTTCAAAGAAAAGAAACATTAGAACTTTGGGTTTGTAAAAATTTTCCTATATAGATAAAATTATTGGTAACTGTGTCTCACTAGAAAACGTAAACAAAAATCCATGTTTTTCATATTTGTAAATATACATAGTTTTATTTCCATCAGTTATGACATGCAAGCAAGTAATAAAGTGAAAGTACAATCAAATGATATATGGAACTTCCTCAGTCTTAAAATATTCCATGGAGACTATCAATTTTATGAAAACTATAAAGAATGCTTCATGAAACTACATTGTACAGTGCCATTTACTATTTTACTGACATTTTAAATAATCAACAATTAAAGGGAATACGTCAACATTATTTAATACCAATAACGTTATTTTTCTTGAGTAATCCTGTTGAAATTAAGGATTTTAAATAAAACATTAAAAACAAATTATATTGACTGATTTCAGCTTTGGATGAAATCATACTTGTGTATTTGTAGTAATGCGAAGCATAACTTTCTCCTCACAATTAATCTTTTATAACATCGGTGTTATAGTTTTCTCTGACACCAACATTGTGATATCGCACAGGTTTACTGCATGCATGCATTACATGCCTCCAGAGAGTAGGCTTCAAATATATGGAAAAATTATATTTATGAAAAAATTCTAGGAAAGGGAATGGTGAAATGGAAGAGAATTTCTCACTTGCTAACTGTTGGACATGGATTTGTATATATTTGGATATAGACACATACTGGCACACTGTGAGTTTGCCCATGTATATATACACTTATATGAGAAACCCATAATATATGGGTTGTGTAATCTTTTAATTAATCCATAATTGTATGTGTGTGAAATTAGATAAGCGGTTACCTTTTCTTTACTCAATTTGATGGAAAGCCAAAAAACTCTGTCCACCTTCATTTCAATTAATCCAATACTGTTAACTGCTGGTAGCTTCATTCTCCTTGTTCTCTTACGGCAACCGGAAAGTTAATTCTCGCTCTAATTTGGCTTTCAAGGTGCGATCAACAAGAGTGTCACCTTGCTGTGGATTGTGACCTCTGACTCCACCTCTGTCTTCCTTTTGCAGTCCTACCTTTGCATAGGTAACAAACTTTGTACATGGTTAAAAGGATAAACGTTCAGTGAAATGTCAAGCCATGCTGTGAAATGTTCCATAGTTTCTATATCTCTAATTGTCCTTTGATGTTATAGAGGCAAGAAAAATAATTCAATGTTTTTCTTAGTATCTAGTCCAATGCACGCTTTCTTCATAATACTGCAAACAAGGCACTGACATGGAAACGTGGCTGGACGTCTCAAAATCTCTTCTCATTAATTACCATTATGTTAATCACTGTTGCCCACAACTGGAATTGGACTTTGAAATCCCCTGGTGGAAATTGCTATAATGGCTCAAACTACTGGAAAGACTATCTTTTTTTTACCTGAAAATATCTGATGAGCATAGACGTATGCTATATACAGGAACATATTGTACATTAACAACATACCATCACTGCCACTCAATAATAGGTATCCCAAACCTTTGAGCCAAACTGAGCTCGGGTGCTCCCACAAACCAAGCTTTTCCCTCCACAGATTTCTTATGTCAAAAAGCCACAACTCCAGGCCAGGCTTCGTGGCTCTTGTTGTAATTTCTACATTTTGGGAGGCCGAGGTTGGTGGGTCACTTGAGGTCAGGAGTTGGAGACCAGCATGGGCAACATGGCAAAAAGCTGTCTCTACCAAAAATACAAAAATTAGCCAGACCTAGTGGCACTTTCCTGTGGTCCCAGCTACTTGGGAGGCTGAGGCAGGAGAACCACCTGAACATGGGTGGCAGAGATTGTATAGTAAGCCAAGATCAGACTACTGCACTCCAGCCTGGATGACACAGCGAGACCATGACTGAAAAAAGAAAAAAAAAAAAATAAAGGCAACTCCACTCGTCCACTGGCTTAGGTAAAAAGTACTGGAGTTGGCTGGGCTCGGTGGCTCACACCTGTATTCCCAGCACTTTGGATTTTGGGAAGCTGAGTCGGGCGGGTCACCTGAGATCTGTAGTAGGAGAGCAGCCTGGCCAACATGGTGAAGCCTGGCTTCTACTAAAAATACAAAACATTAGCTGAGCGTGGTGATGCATGCTTGTAATCCCAGCTACTGCAGAGGCTGAACCTGGGAGGCGGAGGATGTGTTGAGCTGAGATCCTGCCACTGCGCTCCAGCCTGGTCTACAGAGCGAGAGTACCCTGTGAGAAACAAAGGTGAAGAGAACAAGAAAAAAAAAATGAGAAAAATAAGACCCACTGCAAAAGGTTGCCACAGAAAAGATTAAACATTTCAGCAACTTCTATCTTCTGTCATGGAAGCCAAGGTTATTTGGACCAAACCTCCTGTCTTAGTTCATTTTCACGCTGCTGAAGAAGAGATACCTGAAACTGGGAATAAAAGGAGGTTTAATTGGACTGACAGTTCCACATGGCTGTGGAGGCCTCAGAATCATGGTATACGAATAAAGGCACTTCTTACATGGCAATGCCAAGAGAGAATGAGGAAGAACCTGAGGCAGAAACCCCTGAAAAACCCATCAGATCCCGTGAGACTTCTTCACTGTCACAAGAATAGCATGAGAAAGACCGACCCCCATGATTCAATTACCTCCCCCTGGGTCCCACCCGCAACACGAGGGAATTCTGGGAGATACAATTGAAGCTGAGATTTGAATGGAGACACACCAAACCATGTCACTTCCCAAACAATTAAAAATTCCCAATAGAAGAAGCATTAATTATATCAAAAAGTGGTGGACCAAGAAGGAACTATTAGCCTCATATCTCAAGAAAGACTCCAGTCAAGGCCTAGGGACTACTCATGAAAAGAGTTTAATAGCCGACTCTCTCCCAGTGGATCTGGATTCCACCGGACTGTATCTTCACAGTAAGGGTGAAACAGAAGCAAACCCATTCCTATTTCCAAGCTCAAGGAACTTTGGTCAAAGTTCTCTTGGAGCTGAGCAGAACAAGGAGGCAAACAGAAAAGATTTGTGTCCCTGAGAAGTCATGGCCACAGGCTGGCTATCACACAGATTGTCAAGCCAGTTCCATATTGCATGGGTATTACAGAAAATCTCAAAACATAAATTTGTGTGTGGGTTGTCCCAGAGTAGCAGGATCTGGCAGAAGGAAATTTCCTTCTAACCCTCAAAGAATCCACATAAATCTTGTTACATTTGGGATTTTACGATTTGCTTCAGGAATGAGAATGGCCTTAATTTTCATATCTTTTTCTACACTCAGTTTATGGCTTGTTGGCGTCAAAGTTCTGCTTGCTTCACACAATGAGTTTAGGATTTTCCCTTTTTTATTCTATAGAATTCTTCATATATATTGAAATGCTCTGCCTGGGGAAAAAAATCTGAGCCTAGCGTTTTATCTCTAGGAAGAATCCTTTATTTCCTTGAACATTTATGAGACTATACAGATTATATATGTCTTCTTGTATCAATTTTACTAAGCTATATACATAGCTTATGTTTATATATTATATATATAAATGTAAGATACAAATATAAAAATTATGTATAAATATGAAAATATATATAGAAAGCGATATATATGTCTATATATATAGACAGATTATAAATATCTGTCTATTTGATCTAAGTTTTCAAATTTGTAGGTTAAGGTGTTAACGATATTTCCTTATTAGCTTCTTAATCTATGCTGTATCTATGGTTGTGTACCTTTTAAATTCTTAGTTTTATCTATGTTTTCTCCCTTTTTTTCTAAACTTGACTGACGGTTGCATCATTTATTATATTTCTCCAACAAGCAAAGGTTAGCTTTGTATGTTTTACTAATTTTGTCTACATCATTATTCCCACACTTTAGTTTTTCAGAATTGATTCTGTTGTTTCTTTTCTAATTCTTTATTGAAATATCTAGTACATTAATTTTCAAGTTATTAGAGAAATATTTGTCTGTAAACTCCTATTGTAATATCACTTTTCTTGCTACTCACAGATTTAATCTTTAATATTGGCGGTATCATTGAGTTCTAAGTACATTTCAATTCCTAGTATGATAATCTATGAATTGCTGAGAAATAGTGTTTACAATTTTGTTGTTCTATTTCCACTTAAGTTTATTTTTACTTCTGCTAACTCAATTGAAAATTCTTTACTAATTTTTAAAATCCTTGAACCCAAGAGATGGAGGTTGCAGTGAGCTGAGATCAGGCCACTGCATTCCAGACTGAGTGACAGAGTGGAACGAGATTTCAAAACAAAACAAAACAAAACAAAACAAAACAGTCACTGGAAAGATAATAAAATACATAAATGTGGGATGTAATATGTAATCGTGATAAAATAAACTGGATTTTTTGTATAAGTTATACATATAAATGTAATGCCAAGACACTGATAAGACAACTCATGGTCTTATCTCAATACTTAGTGTCTTCATGTAACATATGTCCTTTAGGATAGTTATAGTCCGTTTTCTTTCCAGGAGAGACAGATGAGAATGCAGAAATGTTAAAGTGCAAGGGACGGAAGCTTCCAGCTGTGCCCACCTGTAACCTGACGTAGACAGTTCCACCGTTTGCTTCATTAATCATGCCAAAGGCTCTAATGCAAATGTGGTACAGAGTCACATGTTTTTGTATCTACATGATAGAAACTATAACTTCATCCCTATATAGAAGGGTATATAGCATATGCCTCAGTGATAAATATAAGTGAATCATTGATCAGTAGGAAACCATTTTAAAAGTCTTTCATAACAGAACAAAATCCCTGAGAACATTTTCTTCTCAATCTCTGAGTTTTCTTACACGGCTTATGAATCTCTAGCCATACTAAAGAGATAGTATGCTGCTCTTCCCACAAATTATTCATTGTATATAATTCCTGTAATCTAATAACAGTACCTTTACACCTCAGGGTTTAAAATGACTCCAACCTTTTTCTGTTTCTCCAATTAAAATAACTTTTTTAAGGTTTAATCTTCAGTAATTTTTTGTAGTAATATTTTTGAAGGTATTTGACCAGGATGATTTGCTTATATACCTACCTGACGTCTCCCTTTCTTCTGAATACATATTTTATTACCCACCTATTAGATCTAAGTTTAAGAAGTTGGAATAGGGATTTAAATCTAAATTCTACATTTGAATTTACAGGAGTCAGCGAGTCCAGGAAGTGCCTTTATGCACAGACCAATATCTGGCAATGGCACTAGGGGACAAATAAGCTTTACCAGTCTCAAAGCCCTGGCTACTACAGTGAATCCACCCTTCTCCTGGATCTTATCTACTTCAGCAAAAGAAGGCCACCCACTAAACCAGGCCCTTGTACTTTGGGTGGAAACTCCTAAGTCCTCTAGTCTCCTCAAACAGACAGCCAGGCTGCCAATTTCCACAATAATAATTTCTATAGCACTGAGTCTTTGGTAGCCTTGTAACTATAGCTACTGATGCTACAGTCTGGTCCCTGTATGATAAAACACCAGAGCAACAGAAACAAAAATATTGACTGAAGCCTTCTAAAATCTCTCTAAATATACCTTCAATAAATATGGTTTTTTTTACAGAACGACTGCTTTCAGCTTCCTGAACTAACGCTTGGCCTTCGCTAGTTGTCACTGTTGAAATTGATTCAAAAGTGTACATTTAACATGAAAGTCAACACAGAATTTCATGTGTCAGCAACTAAAATTTTCAAAATGTTGCAAAATACAAATGTGAAACTGTATTTGTGAAATTTACCATTCATTGAAATTATATTTTCATACCTACCCAGGCACAGAATTTTTTATAACTGTCTGCATGTTCTCCTCATGTGGGGGAAAAGCAGCATCAGCAGGCAGAGGAATCCTTTGAAGCTGGAGGGAGAGGTTGCAGTGATCTGAGAGTTTGCCACTTGACTGCAGCCTGGATGACACAGTGAGACTCCAACTGAAAAGAAACAAACACACACACACACACACACACACACACACACACACCCCCAAAATTGATAAGTAAAAAAAAAATCCATATTCGAAAACATGCTCACAGGCTAACTCCCATATCTAACACACACACACACACACACACACACACACACACACACACAATTCCTTGAAAACGAAAGTTCCACAAGGGCAAAACAAGAAAACAAATTTAACACCCCCCAAAGAAAGTACAAAGAGTAACCTCAAAAGAACCGCAGGGGAAAACAATTCAAAATTTACAAGTATCTACCCTAAAAGAAGCTGAAAGTCCCTCAAAAACTTTCCAGAGGCCATGTCCTTGTATTACAAAAATGATCATAAAAACTGGCAGGAGTAGACGAATAGAAATGCATCTTAAAACTTGCTAAACCCTTCAAGTCTCCCATAAGAATTGTAATGGAAAATGGATCGGTCGGCAGCTTTTTCCATACAATTATGAACAAATTATATTTCTTCATACATAGATTTGTTTTTTCAATATTCTAAGGAATTAACTTTTATATTAATAGTAGGTGATGTAAGAAAGCAGGCCTTTATCAAGATAACTGACACTGGATGTCCATACCATTACTCAGGTGGGCCTTAATTCCCAGCCGGGTTCCCTCCCTGGACACACACTGAAGGTCCCCAGCCATTTGGCAATCTCTTCACATTCCCAGCCCTGGAGGTAGCCCTAAAATACATGTACCTGAAGAAAATAAAACATTGCCTCACACTGGAGCCCAGTGTGGTCCTCCAGATTCCGTGTGAGGTGGACTAACTTATATGGGAAGGCAGGGCAGCGGGAGTGAGGATGGCAGAGAGGATTACACATGTCAAGGCAGCCGGGGTCATGGAAACAAAACATGACTGGCCTGGGAGAAACACTGTGAAAGGACACAGACCTAGGTGGGCCTCAGGTGGACATCCTCATGGAGAAAAAGGGGGCCCTGGTTGATCTCAAAATGAGCCCCAGGTGGTAGCAGGTCTTACCGCAGGGCAGGGAGCTGGCGAGTAATGATGAGACAGCTATCCCTTAAGCCCTGCTTGTCACCCACTGACTTTAGCCACATATGCATCATAGTGGCTTAAGGTGCCCCGATCCTGAAATGTGGGTGTTACATGTCCCTGATGGGCCTCTCTCCCCCAACCCACGGATTGCCTGGGATTGCTCACTGCAGTCTCCTCCCGGATCCTTGGGTTCTCCATGTGGGGCCCAGATCCAGGTCAAAAGGCCTCTCAGTTCCCAGCCCTTCCCAGCCCTAGGCTGCTCGCCTGGCCTCCTCTCTGTTCCGCCTCTAGGGCTGACCCTCTCTCCATGGGATAGAACTGCAATGGATTGAGCCATAGGCCCTGGCTGATGATCTAGGGGACTGCAGAAGTGGGTCCAGGACAGTTCAGGTGACAGTTCAAAGCCAATTCCCCAGAGACCAAGGAATGACCAGCTAGGTCCTTTCCCATGATGCCCCACGGCGAACCCCACCTCAGCAATCCTGCCAAAACCCGGGCAGTCATGTTCAGCCAAACAGCTGAATGAGCTCAGGTAGGAGGTGTACTGCCTGCAGCTGGAGGCTTGACCTTCGTGATCCCAGAACCGCTGGACTGCAGTGGAATGAGACACCCTGTAGCCTGCAGGGAGAGGAGTCAGGAAGGTTCATGCCAGTCCCACCCTCCCACACACCAGCTCCCCTACCATGCTGGGAGGCATTCCTTACCGAGGATGCCAACACAGTGCTCCTTCATGATGATTTCACTGTGGAAATAAAGGTTGGGATGAAAGGAAATCATCCTGCCACCGGTAACCGGGATGGCTGAGTTCCTCCACCTGCCGGATCAAGGAGAAAGAGGATGGATTCAATGGGACCATCTCAACTAGCTGGGCTGAGGTGGCCTACTAGCTGTAGTGAACCATGAGTTTCCCCTTCCCAGCTCTCCCACTGAGACAACCCTGGTCCCCAGGGGGACCTCAAACTGACTCAGACACTGGACTCCTCCCACAGACCCAGGCTCCCCAGCCTGACCTGCAAATCCATCACGTAGCAAAGCAGGACTTCCGCATGCTTTCCGACCCACGCCGACATCTCGGGTGTGCCAAACAATCTACCTCTGCGCAAGAACTCTCCAGAGGATTGGGTGGGCAAGCCTCGTGACGCCTTGCAATTTCGCAAGAACACAGACAATGTGGAACAGGGCCATCTCCCAGACATTTGGCCAGTCACCCTTCATTGTTGGCCCTCTATCTCTGTCTGGCGAGGAGGCAACGCCACAACTGTGGTGGTTTTTGGAGTGGGTGGACCCCGGCCAAGACGGCCTGGGCTGACCAGAGACGGGAGGCAGAAAAAGTGGGCAGGTGGTTGCAGCTGAGGGACGGGAGGGGCCGGGGGTGGTGTGAGGCGGCTGCTTCTCTGGGTTTCTGAGATGCAGGAGGCCTTTGTGTGCTGGGTGCTGGACATGCTCCGCTGATGTCCGGGTGTGTGGTGTCCTCTTATCCTAGTCTCCCTGAGGGGTGGGCCTGTCCACCTGAGGGAAGCCTTGTAGTTAGAAGCCACAGCAGGGTCGTGCCTGGCGCTCTCCAAGGGAATTGCGTGGGTCCAGAGGAAGTTATACAGGCTCAGGGCCTACACGCCTTTGAGTGCAGCGCCTGCAGTTGGATGAATGCGCATCTGCGGAGCTGGTGCCCGCCGTCAGGTGGTCGGCAGCCCCATGCGCCGCGAACCCGTCTTAAGCACCTTGTGTTTCTGGGGTGAGCCTGCTGGAAACAGGCACCGAGAGCAGGGGTGGTTCAATGGCTGGTAATGGCATACAGATTCCCCGTCCTCCAGGGACGTTCCCAGGGAAACGCGTCCTTCGAATTTGGGCTGTGCGCAAAGGGACCTTGGCGCCGCGATTCTCCCTTGTCAGTGCTGGCCCTGGCTCCCCTTCCCTACCACGTGCTCCCAGGGCTGCTACAAGCGAGCTGCCCTCACAGCTGCGGGAACGTGGCCTCGGCTCCCACGCTGTCCCCCATCCCCTGCCTCCTGGCTGACCCCACGTGCCTCCCACCTGGCTCCTCCCCGCAAACAGCCCCCATACCCCCCGAGGCCCGATGACTATCCCCTGCTGCCCGCCATCCCAAATCGGCAGCCGCAAGGATATGGCTCTGGCTCACAAGGCGGAGATGCTCTGTGGCCTGGGGCATTCACGGAGCCCAGCTCCAAGTGAAGGACCTCCAGCGAGTCCATTGACGGCCCCGGTGTGCTCGGTCCAGGGCCAGGCTGTGCCCGCTGGCCCTCCTTCTGCCACCCCACGTCGGGCTCCACCTCAACCACCACCTCCACCTCAGCCATGATGTCTTCCACCTTCAGCACCGCCTCCTCTTCCAAGGCCGCCTCCTTGCTCTGTACCCCGGCCGTCCTCTCCAGCATTGCCTCCAGCCTGAACACGGTTTTCTCCTGGGTGCTCCCACAGACCCTGGGCCTGCGCAGCCCAGCCCAGCCCAGCCCATGCCCCGCACCCGTAGGCTCTGGGGGCCCGCTCCCCAGCAGACCCGCTCCCTGCAAGACCCACGGGCGTCGCCCTGCTGAGAAACTGGTCCCACACCTACGTGGACCCAGGTTTCCTGAGGAGCTCCGCTGGACCCGCAGATCCCGCACTGGCCAAAGGGCTCCGGTCCCCAGCAGGCTCAACTGCGCACAGGAGCTCGGGAGCCAGAGGCCCCGGCCCTGGGCTTGCAGAGCCCCACCAACAGGCACCGCAACCGCTGCTGCGGGTGCGGGAGCCTCTGGGTCGTCAAGGCAGCGCACAACAGCGTGCGCGCAGGCCGACAATGGCCAACCCTGGCGGCTGGCCTCTGGTGTGCCCAGGGCATAGGACAAGAGGCCCTTTGGAATGCTCCTTGGAGTACAGCATCCTCAGGGAGGAAGCATGGTACTCGGAGCCTCTATTTGCCTCGACCTGTGAGAGTGTGTGCCGGGGCTCTGGCCTCTACAGCAGATCAATTCCACCTCAGCACCGGCAGGCGACTTTCCTCCCACGTGCCCGCCCCGATCACTTCCCCCAGGACACCCCTGCCGCCCTAGCCCCAGCAACCAGAGAGAGTTCTCTGCATCTGCTGTATTACCTCCGTACCATCTACCTGGCCTGCCTAACGAAGAGAGATGTTTCCTGTGTTCATGACACATAGAGATGTTCATGGCTTGCCACACTGAGGATGTCAGGGCACAGGGCTGCCATGCCCACAATTCCAAAGGCCACGCAGCCCGCGTGTGCCCGGATGCCTAGCTACCCGGCACAAGCTCCAAGGGCTTCTCGGAGGAGGCTTGGGCAGGGAAGGCGGGGGGTGGGGGGGCTGGAGATGCAGGCCCGCCAGTGGCTGTGCCGCCCAGGGAGACGCCCACCGCCCTCCCATTGACTGGCCACGACGGGAGGAAGTCGGCCTGGGTGCGGCCCCCCGGCCCTTCGCGCGCAGTCCCTTAGGGGGCGCCTGGAAGCCCGGCGCATGCGCCCTGAGGGCTCGCTGACCTACTGGGTGCCAGAGAGGCTGCGGCAGGGTTTCTGTGGCGTGGGTCGGGCAGCACAGGCCTTGGTGTGTGCGAGTGCCAAGGAGGGCACCGCCTTCAGGATGGAGGCTGTACAGGAGGGGGCGGCCGGGGTGGAGAGTGAGCAGGCGGCTTTGGGGGAGGAGGCGGTGCTGCTGTTGGATGACATAATGGCGGAGGTGGAGGTGGTGGCGGAGGAGGAGGGCCTCGTGGAGCGGCGGGAGGAGGCCCAGCGGGCACAGCAGGCTGTGCCTGGCCCTGGGCCCATGACCCCAGAGTCTGCACTGGAGGAGCTGCTGGCCGTTCAGGTGGAGCTGGAGCCGGTTAATGCCCAAGCCAGGAAGGCCTTTTCTCGGCAGCGGGAAAAGATGGAGCGGAGGCGCAAGCCCCACCTAGACCGCAGAGGCGCCGTCATCCAGAGCGTCCCTGGCTTCTGGGCCAATGTTGTATCCTTCTCAGTGTTTCTTCGGCCTTTCTAGTGGAGAGGTGCTCTCGGGGAAGTGTAAGTGACCGATGGGCAGCTCGGCGTCGATGTGACTCTTTGGGGAACAAAGGGGAGTTGCCACGGACCAATGTGGCTGTGGAAAGCCGGAGCAGGCGTGGGTACTATTGTCCTGCATGCGGCAGAGAAACCCTTGGTGATGCCGAGCAGCAGACGTTTGGGGCATCTTTTTGAAGAGCAGAAGCGAGTTCAGAGCGGAAGAGGTTTTTCAGTGAATGAAGCTATTTTTAAGGGAGTGTGATTGCTGCCCCTTGCTAGTCCGATCTGGGACTGGGCGTCTTCGGCTATAAGCAGATTCTGCCACTCCTCAGACACCAGCAAGTCTCTGCAAATCGCGCCTCCCCATGTCAGTGCAGTCAGCCTCAGAATCATACACCCTCTGTGAACACAGGAGGCCTTAGTTTACGGGGACGGGGAGGCGAAAGGAGATCATACATGGAAGCAGATCTGAGAAATCCCCTACCCCAGCCTCTGGGTGCTCTTAGGCCTTCTTCCCTGTTGCTCCTCGCTTTCCCTTCCATCGTGTGTAAAGTCTCTTTGACCTAAATCAGATTGCAAACCACCCCCAGATGTCAGCCCTGATCACTGACGAAGATGAAGACATGCTGAGCTACATGGTCAGCCTGGAGGTGAGGCCAGGAAGACTGGGGCTGGAGGGTTTAGCGGGGGAGGGTAAGGGAAATAATTCATTCCTGTAAGCAAGAGTGAGCACCTCACCCGAAAACCTATCTAAGCTTTCTCCACCTTGTCCTGACAGGTGGAAGAAGAGAAGCATCCTGTTCATCTCTGCAAGATCATGTTGTTCTTTCGGAGTAACCCCTACTTCCAGAATAAAGTGATTACCAAGGAATATCTGGTGAACATCACAGGTGACAGGTGGCTCCCAGGATGGGTAGTGGAAGGAAGATGGTGGGTGGATCATTGCCAACGGGATCCAGCCCCCTTCCCACAAAAACTCCTGTCTCTGTAGAATACAGGGCTTCTCATTCCACTCCAATTGAGTGGTATCTGGATTATGAAGTGGAGGCCTATCGCCGCAGACACCACAACAGCAGCCTTAACTTCTTCAACTGGTTCTCTGACCACAACTTCGCAGGATCTAACAAGATTGCTGAGGTGAGTCCTCACTGGGAAACATGAGGAATGACCCCGTGTGTTCCCAGCTGCTTGGGTCACCTTTCTGAGCCCTGATGAGGCCTTTCCCGATTGAGTCCCCTGACAGATCCTATGTAAGGACCTGTGGCGCAATCCCCTGCAATACTACAAGAGGATGAAGCC
Organism: Homo sapiens; assembly: GCF_000001405.40. Lineage (NCBI taxonomy): Eukaryota > Metazoa > Chordata > Mammalia > Primates > Hominidae > Homo > Homo sapiens. Next base: position 9,359,663 of record NC_000024.10, read on the forward strand.
ACCTGAAGAGGGAACAGAGACGTCAGGTGAGCCGTTAGTTGGCACTGGAGCTGTTTGATGCCCAGTATAAGGGGGTTGACACACCTGCCTATTCAGGGAGCCTGGGTGCTCATTTCAGAAATGTAGAAATTGAGGCTCCTTTCGTACATGTAGAAATTCCTTGAGAGGAAGACAGAGAGTGACAGAATCCAGGACGTTCATGGCATTGGGCTGAAAAGGCACGTTAGAGACTGCACTGCAAAGCGGGTGATAGCTGTGGAGTCTTAAGCCCAGTGAAGAATCGTCCATTTCCAGAATCAATGAGAAGTAAAGCTGAAAATCATTCAGTTCAGTCTGTGGCACTTGATTCCACGGCTGTCAACCCCACCGGCAGTCATCCCGCCAACCCCATGAGATTGGGCTCCCTGAATGTGCGTCCTGGTCATCCTTGCCCCAAACCACAAAGGACTGTTTAGATTGATGGATTTCCTTAAGCTGTTGCCCCATCAGACTTGTGTGTGCTTTTAGGGCCCAGTGCATCTTGTTAGCTGACTCCCCTCACAGACAATACTGGGAATGGGGCAGGGATTGCGCAGAACAGTTTGTAACACGTGGTAGGAGGAAGTTTAAGGGATCACAAATGGGGAAGGGATATCCTTTTCTCAGCGGGCCCCACAATTGAAACATTTCAAAGTATGGCTCAGAGAAAATGCGTTTTAACATGAGTTTGTGTTTCTCTAGGGGACTCCCAGTTGTTGAGTTGAATATGATGGAGCATCAGATTTTACCTAATACAGCAGAACTCCTAAAAAGTTACAGCCATATGCAGGACGGCAGTACTCAGCATGGTCTTATGCACAGGAACTAAAGGAAAAAGAGATCGAGTCACAAAAATTCAGGAAGAGGGGGTAAATGTGGATTGTATGGAATGAAAAATAAACATTCTCAAGGATGTGTGACTCTGTGTCTGTGTGTGTGTGTGTGTGTCTTTGTGTTTGTGTGTGTGTGTGTGTGTGTGTGTGTGTGTATGTTTATCCACTTTATTCGGGTGTCATAATGAATTGATCAATCCACGTGCTTTATTCTCTTCATGGAAATAACCAGTCTGCGTTGGAGCTGGGCCTCTAAAGTTGTAGAGTGAATGGGTGTGGGATGTGTTGGGATTCTTCCTACAGGACAGAGTGGGAGAGGTAAAAGCAAAAGACAGCTTAGTTGGAGGCTGACTTCGTCCTGTGGAAGCAGAGATAGTTCAAGGAAAGGGGTTACTGGGTTTCCAGGGCCCAGTTTGCTGGGACCTCCAAAATCCTTCATTTTGGGTATCATCATACACAGTAGCTAAGCACAGGATGATGGAAATCTTAAAGTTCGCTTTCGTGTTGAATCCACATGTTCTTTTAAAGGTGAATGCATGATCCTTTTCTGGGACAATCAGCCTCTCAGGACTTCTGAAACATCAACGTGAGAAGAAATGGGCATGCAAGGTGTATGGAGGGACTGTGGGAAAGGTGACAGAGGCATGTGGGAAGGCATTCAGGATACGCTTTTGGCAGAGATGACTAAGGGAAAACAGAAACTTACAGAAGTGAGGGGAAAGGGGGTGGATTAGTGGAATATAAGATTGTTGGAGAATCCATCCATGGACTCTCTTGTCACTTGATGACCCAGGATATGGACACTCTTGTTGATGTTTACATCTTTAGTTGTTTTAAGCTTTTCTCCAAGATTCTGTGTTAGGTGAGGAGCCAATAACGTATGTAGCTAACAACAGTACGAGTGCATTTTGTGCTCTTGCAAAGTCTAGTGAGGCTCTATTCTCCCTCGTGATTGGCACTGCAGATTGTATCTGGACCCAGGGCCCCTAAATTTTCTGTGGCCTCTTCAGCATAGTTTGCCTAAGGTTTAGAACGTAAAGTGAATATAGTTGCGGAATATGTTTTGCAAGCCTCACACAGGAGGACAAAACATACAGCTTTCATTCGCGAGTGGGAGGCTGCTTCCCAGGAACACGTGTGTCTGCACAAGACAAGGGGTTGCCTCTGTCAAGGATGGGGCAGGAGGATTTCAGTGTCGGAGGCAGAACTTTCTTTCCTGTTCCCAGATGAAACAGTTCCAACACGAGCATCCATGTTGACCACACGCTACTAGAGTGCTAACATTGCTGTCCCGTATAGACTCCAGTCAGCACAGCTTCTGTGAGAAGAGCTATGTTGTTTCAGGGAAGAGGGTTTGACAGTCAAAGTTCCTGAATCTGTTGTGGTGCCTGCAATATGCATTCTACACCTCCTGCTCGGTGTCAAAGCAGTTGAGCTTTGAAAATCTATCGCCCGGTTTTGTCCCTGCTCCTATGCAGACCTCTGAAGCTCTGGAGCGGGAGTCTTGTCCTCCTCTGACTACCGTCCCCCTGACCCACAAACACAGGAGAAACAGGTGTTCTAAGCAAATTATTCTGAAAACAGTCGGAACACTTTGGCCCCCTCAAGCTGCCCTCTATCCTACTGTGTGCATGTCAAAGACACTGTGGTCCAGTACGGTATCCCTATAGCGGCAATGGGGCAACAGATTGGTGTGTGCACTCTGGGCAACTCAGATTAGGAAACGTCTGGGGACTTGCCTATAACGAGGTCGTCTTAAAACGTGTTGCCCCAAATTTAAGGCATAGGAAAATGTTGAGGAAAGGGTCTTGCAATGATTTTTCTAGGAGGTAAATAGATAAGAAAATGACCGTAAATAGATGCCAGGGCTAGTTTTGGAGCTAGCCTGTTTTAAAGTGGTGGTAGGGGAGGAGCTTTTTCCAAGGCAGGTAGCAAACCAGGAACTGTCTACGATGGATGGGCGTGCCACGGGTTGGTGGCTCAGCCATATTGCCACCCCACCGAGTGAATGCAGCAGACTGGGCTTCTTCCTTGAATCCTACGTGCAATTCAGTCTAGTGATTTCACATGAGATCCCTTCTTCTGGTATTATCACAGATCGTGCTGAATTATACAGGCTGTGTAATGCTTCTTCCACTGAATATCCGTGCACGTGGGCCACAGATGCTAAGGGCACTGACAAATTTGCACCGTGCCTCAGTAACTCGGAAGCACATCTGTGATTTGTACCGACAGGGACTTGGTGTCTTTTCGTGTTTAAAGTAGCACGTGTGTGTTTGTGGTTGCGTATGTTTATTTCTCTGTGCGGGTTTGTATATTTTCTCTGACTCCACCTGTGTCTCCGTGGTTCCGATATTTTTCCACACTCCCTGCGACAATTTGCACATGCCTATCTCTACAACCATTGTAGACTTTGTATCTGTGTCTTTGAACATCTGTCACTCTCTCTCCCTTCCTTTTTTCTTTTCCTTCCTTTACACCCCTTTCATCCTTCCCTTGCTTCCCCACCACACTCTCTCCATCTGTATCGTCTATGTTTCTATTCTCTATCTGGGTTTACTTTCTAATTCTGAATTCAAGGGCATTGAATTGAAAAGAAGCACTCTTCGTACTTTTATGTGTTTTAACTCATTTGGGGAATTTGGCGTGGTATTATTTACAGGGTTCTCTCTGCCCTTTCTCATTGTTCTCCCCAGCCGGGGCTGTTATTATGTGAAAGCTGGTTTCCTTCATCACATCGCGTAGGCTCTAATGATGTTTCGTTTATTTTGATTCTCCTCACACTACATAGTTTTAATTTACCTAATGTGACTCTTTTTTTGTTTGTTTTCCGAGAATGGGTCTTACTCTGTCTTCTAGGTTGGACAGCAGCCCCACGATCTCAGCCCACTGCAGCCCAGGCACCACACACCCATGTGATCCTGTCAACTCAGACTCTCACACACCTGGCAGTACAGGTGCATGCCACCCCTCCAAGCTATGTATTAATTAACTAAATACTTACTTTTTGAATGTGGGTCCATGTTGCCCCAGGCTCATCTGGAACTCCTGAGTGCAGGCAATCCTCCCACCTCAGCTTATCAAAGTGCTGGGATGACAGGTGTGACCCATGGCCCTGCCATGGCTTTGTGTTTTTTGCTTTTTTCTTCCTCCTCCTCACGTCTTGTTTTGAAACATGCACTGAAGGTTTCAATTCATGGACTATAGTCTCTGTGCCTGGAATTTCTATCTTTCAACTCATCATCAGCATTCATTGGGATTTTCATATATATATACACCTATATAAGAATACCTATGTACACACATATATACGTATATACATGTATATACGTATATATGCACATTTATATACGTATATACATGTATATACGTATATATATACATGTACACATATGTATTTATTTCTCAAGTTACGAAACGGCTTGCATTCTTTCCTGTGTCATGAAAAAGACTTTGCTAGAAAAGAAAAGCACTGCTTTATAATAAAATATTTTATTTGCATTTATTTTGTTAAGGCATTTTAAAAATTGTATGTTTGTTTAAAAAATGTCATATGAAATGATACATATTTACAACTTAAGGCGTGATGTTCAACAGGTCATATACATTATGCATTGGATACATCCAGCCAATCAACATATGTGTGACCTCACATAGTTGTCATTTTTGTTGTGAAAAAACTTGACCTGCACTGTATTCGAATATTTTTAGAGAAAGAATATGTTACCACTAGTTATAGTGAGCATGCTGAAGAAAATATTTTAACCTATTCCTCCTTTATAACTAGAAGTATGAGTTCTTCATCCAGCATCTCGTCAGTGCACCCTCTTCACCGCAGTCATTGGAGTCACTACTTCTGTGAAGTCCGCTTTTTTGATTTCATATAAGAATGAGATCATGTGCTATTTTCCTTTCTGATACCTGGCTTATGTCACTTAACAGAATGGCATGCACACATTCAGCAGATTCCCACACATTCTCACAACTGGCAGGATTTCCTGATTTCTTATTGCAGCGCATATTTCCGTTGCGCATATGCGTTTTTGCCCCATTTTTTAATCCACTTATCAATGGAGGGACACTCAGGTTGCTTCCGCATTTTGGCTACAGCAAAAATGTAATGAGTGCAGCAATAATTGCATGGGTGCGCGCACCGCTTCAACATACTGATCTGTGTACTGGCGGGCGTGCCCGGGTATTCTGATTTGCTGGATCATATAGTGGGTGGTTCTACTTGTAGATTTCTGAAGGCTGTTTATACTTAAATAAGAGCCATAAAGCTTCTTTAATGCCAGCACTAATTTACATTCTCCCCAAAAGTGAGCAGGGAATTCGTTTTCTCTGCCTCCTCACCAGAGATTAGGGTTTTCTTTTCTTTCTTTTTTTTTTTTGTTTGTTTGTCTTTCGGATAATATGCATTCTGACTGAAGTGAGAAGAAATCTCATTGTGTTTTTGATTTGCATTTTCGTGATGGATTGGGGATAATGAGGAATTTTTAGTGTGTCTTCTGGGCAACTGTATGTCTCAGTTTCACAAATGAGTCTTCGCAGCCTTCGCCCATTTGTTTTCATGCTATTGAGTTGTTGGGAGTTCCTTATGTACTGTGACTATTCCCCCATGAACAGATGTATGGTGATCCAATCATTGCTCCCATCCTGTAGGATGCCCCTTCTGTATGTTGAGTTTTCTATGGTGTGGTGAAGCACTTTAGTTTGATATGATTCCATTCTCTATTTTTGATGGTGTTTACTGTGTTCTTGCAGTCACTTTGAGACCATCATTGCACACACGGACGCCATGGAGCTTCTTCCTTGTGATCTCTTCTGCTATTTTTATCGTTTCACATCTGACACTGGAGTTTGGTGATAAATAATCCACTTGTAAAATCCTTTGTGTGGCTATTCAGATTTCCCCAACCTAGTTTATAGAAGATACTTGATTTTGCATTGGGCGTTCTTGCTTCTTTGGGAAAAGGCTGTGAGCTGCAAATGCAGTGACTTAGTTCTGGGCTCCTGTTGTTTTTCCTAAGCTCTAGTCTCTGCTTTTCTGCCAGTGCTATTGTATTTTGGTACAAAAAGTTTTGTAGTAGTATATCATGAAGTTAGGTAGTGTGGTGGCTCCAGCTTTGTGCTTTTTACTGGATTGCTCTGGGTTTTCAGGATCTTCTGCCATTTCATAGCAAATTTGGGATTCCCAGATTGTTTTTCTAAGAAGAATGTGTCATTGATATTTTTACAGGGGTTGTATAGAATCTGAGGATGACTCAGGTAGTAGTGATGTCAATGCCGTTTAGACAATGTGCGTGTTTGTGTGCACAAGCTCAGGGCCAAGAGACACTGGGTGTCCTCACCAATACTGAGGTGGGCCTTAATATCCAGCCAGATTGCCTTCTGGAAACACACGGAATGTCCTGTTCTGTTTTGCCATCTCTTCACATTTCCTCCCCTGTGAGCCCTGTGTGGTCCTCCAGATTCCCTGTGCGGTGGCCTGCCTTTTTTGGGGTGGGGAGTTGCTGGGTGAATGAGGATGGCGGAGGGAACCAAGTATGTCAGTGGAGCGTGGTGTCATCCAAACGGTACTTAGCAGGCCTGGGAGAGTCATTCTGGGAGGACGCAGACCTAGAGAGGCCTCAGGTGGGCATCTGTGTGGAGGGTGAGAGATCCCTGGTTGAGCCCAAACTGAACCCCAGGTAGAAGCAAGCCTCAGGACAGGGAAGTAGCTAGCAAGGGATGATGAGGCAGCTATCTCTTGACCCTGGCTTCCCACCCATTGACCTTAGCTACTTGTGCCTATTAAGCAGATTACGGTTCCCCCATCGTGAAATGTGGGTACCACAGTTCCCTGATGGGCATTTCTCCACCAGCCCATGATGGCCTGAGTTTCCTTACTGCAGTCTCCTCCCTGAGCCTTGGCTTCTCTATGTGTGTCCTAACTCCAGGACCCACAGGCCTGTCAACCCCCAGCCCTGGGCTGCTTCCCTGGCCTCTTCTCTCTTCCCTCTCTGAGGGCCTAACTCCCTTGGGTAGTGCTGCAGAATATAGAGCCACAGGCCCTGGCTGATGATCTGGTGGACTGGGCAAATTGGTCGTGACAGGTCAGGTTCTGGTTCAAAGCCAATTCCTCCGATGCCAAGGAATGTCGAAGAAGGTCCTTTGCCATGATGCCCCATAGCTGCCCCACCTCAGCAATCGTGCCGTAACCTGGGCCCTCACAGTCAGACAACCAGCTGAAGAAGCTCAGGCAGTGACCTGCGGGAAACTCGGGCTTTCACCTGCATGACCCTAGAACCACTGGACTGCAGTGGAGCCAGTCGCCCTGTATCCTGGAGGGAGACGAGTCAGGAAGGCGCACGCCAGGCCCAGCTCCCGAGGTACTACCCCCTCTACTCCTCAGGGAGGATGCCAACGCAATACTCCTTAGTCATCACTTTGTTTCCGAAGTAAATGTTGTGATGAAAGGCAAACTTCTTCCTACCCCTTGTATTCAGGGTGGCCGAGTTCCTCCACCTGCCTGTCCAAGAAGGAGAAACAGGGCTGTGAAGGGGCAATTTCATCTAGGTGGGCTGAGGTGGCATTCTAGCCGGGGTGAAGCATGCGTTTCCCCTTCCCAGCTTTCCCGCTGAGACACACCTGAGCCCCAGAAGGACCTCAACCTGACCAGGACCTTAGCACCCTCCCCCAGACCCAGGCTTTCCATCCTGACCTGCAAATCCAACATGCAGCTTTGAAGGACTTTCTCATGGTTTCTGAGCTCCTTGCTCTCACCAGAAAGAATCAGAACTTTTAAAGTGTTCTTTATGCCAACTTAAATTTTTCATTTTTACTACCTCATGTTTTGGATGAGGCATGTATTTTTAAATTTATTTTCACCCTTATTGTACCTCTATGATAAACTGCTTGCTTACATTCATACCGTAATTATCTCTCAGGTTACTTGTCTGTTCCTAAAGATTCACTGAAACGAAGAATTCTATATATGCTTGTATCTTTCAGCAACCGTATGTCAGATAGCACTGCACATTACTGCAGACGTCGCATATACAGGTCCAAAGGTAGAGGAAGAAGAAGAAAGCAAGCGTTAAGCTCTATACATTCCTAAAAGCATATCAGAAACTCACAAATAACAGTGAAATCAAAGAATGATCACAGCCAATTCCATTACATACCTAGACTGAAATACGAAACTTCAAAGAAAAGAAACATTAGAACTTTGGGTTTGTAAAAATTTTCCTATATAGATAAAATTATTGGTAACTGTGTCTCACTAGAAAACGTAAACAAAAGTCCATGTTTTTCATATTTGTAAATATACATAGTTTTATTTCCATCAGTTATGACATGCAAGCAAGTAATAAAGTGAAAGTACAATCAAATGATATATGGAACTTCCTCAGTCTTAAAATATTCCATGGAGACTATCAATTTTATGAAAACTATAAAGAATGCTTCATGAAACTACATTGTACAGTGCCATTTACTATTTTACTGACATTTTAAATAATCAACAATTAAAGGGAATACATCAACATTATTTAATACCAATAACGTTATTTTTCTTGAGTAATCCTGTTGAAATTAAGGATTTTAAATAAAACATTAAAAACAAATTATATTGACTGATTTCAGCTTTGGATGAAATCATACTTGTGTATTTGTAGTAATGCGAAGCATAACTTTCTCCTCACAATTAATCTTTTATAACATCGGTGTTATAGTTTTCTCTGACACCAACATTGTGATATCGCACAGGTTTACTGCATGCATGCATTACATGCCTCCAGAGAGTAGGCTTCAAATATATGGAAAAATTATATTTATGAAAAAATTCTAGGAAAGGGAATGGTGAAATGGAAGAGAATTTCTCACTTGCTAACTGTTGGACATGGATTTGTATATATTTGGATATAGACACATACTGGCACACTGTGAGTTTGCCCATGTATATATACACTTAAATGAGAAACCCATAATATATGGGTTGTGTAATCTTTTAATTAATCCATAATTGTATGTGTGTGAAATTAGATAAGCGGTTACCTTTTCTTTACTCAATTTGATGGAAAGCCAAAAAACTCTGTCCACCTTCATTTCAATTAATCCAATACTGTTAACTGCTGGTAGCTTCATTCTCCTTGTTCTCTTACGGCAACCGGAAAGTTAATTCTCGCTCTAATTTGGCTTTCAAGGTGCGATCAACAAGAGTGTCACCTTGCTGTGGATTGTGACCTCTGACTCCACCTCTGTCTTCCTTTTGCAGTCCTACCTTTGCATAGGTAACAAACTTTGTACATGGTTAAAAGGATAAAAGTTCAGTGAAATGTCAAGCCATGCTGTGAAATGTTCCATAGTTTCTATATCTCTAATTGTCCTTTGATGTTATAGAGGCAAGAAAAATAATTCAATGTTTTTCTTAGTATCTAGTCCAATGCACTCTTTCTTCATAATACTGCAAACAAGGCACTGACATGGAAACGTGGCTGGACGTCTCAAAATCTCTTCTCATTAATTACCATTATGTTAATCACTGTTGCCCACAACTGGAATTGGACTTTGAAATCCCCTGGTGGAAATTGCTATAATGGCTCAAACTACTGGAAAGACTATCTTTTTTTACCTGAAAATATCTGATGAGCATAGACGTATGCTATATACAGGAAGATATTGTACATTAACAACATACCATCACTGCCACTCAATAATAGGTATCCCAAACCTTTGAGCCAAACTGAGCTCAGGTGCTCCCACAAACCAAGCTTTTCCCTCCACAGATTTCTTATGTCAAAAAGCCACAACTCCAGGCCAGGCTTCGTGGCTCTTGTTGTAATTTCTACATTTTGGGAGGCCGAGGTTGGTGGGTCACTTGAGGTCAGGAGTTGGAGACTAGCATGGGCAACATGGCAAAAAGCTGTCTCTACCAAAAATACAAAAATTAGCCAGACCTAGTGGCACTTTCCTGTGGTCCCAGCTACTTGGGAGGCTGAGGTAGGAGAACCACCTGAACATGGGTGGCAGAGATTGTATAGTAAGCCGAGATCAGACTACTGCACTCCAGCCTGGATGACACAGCGAGACCATGAAAAAAAAAATAAAGGCAACTCCACTCGTCCACTGGCTTAGGTAAAAAATACTGGAGTTGGCTGGGCTCGGTGGCTCACACCTGTATTCCCAGCACTTTGGATTTTGGGAAGCTGAGTCGGGCGGGTCACCTGAGATCTGTAGTAGGAGAGCAGCCTGGCCAACATGGTGAAGCCTGGCTTCTACTAAAAATACAAAACATTAGCTGAGCGTGGTGATGCATGCTTGTAATCCCAGCTACTGCAGAGGCTGAACCTGGGAGGCGGAGGATGTGTTGAGCTGAGATCCTGCCACTGCGCTCCAGCCTGGTCTACAGAGCGAGAGTACCCTGTGAGAAACAAAGGTGAAGAGAACAAGAAAAAAAAATGAGAAAAATAAGACCCACTGCAAAAGGTTGCCACAGAAAAGATTAAACATTTCAGCAACTTCTATCTTCTATCATGGAAGCCAAGGTTATTTGGACCAAACCTCCTGTCTTAGTTCATTTTCACGCTGCTGAAGAAGAGATACCTGAAACTGGGAATAAAAGGAGGTTTAATTGGACTGACAGTTCCACATGGCTGTGGAGGCCTCAGAATCATGGTATACGAATAAAGGCACTTCTTACATGGCAATGCCAAGAGAGAATGAGGAAGAACCTGAGGCAGAAACCCCTGAAAAACCCATCAGATCCCGTGAGACTTCTTCACTGTCACAAGAATAGCATGAGAAAGACCGACCCCCATGATTCAATTACCTCCCCCTGGGTCCCACCCGCAACACGAGGGAATTCTGGGAGATACAATTGAAGCTGAGATTTGAATGGAGACACACCAAACCATGTCACTTCCCAAACAATTAAAAATTCCCAATAGAAGAAGCATTAATTATATCAAAAAGTGGTGGACCAAGAAGGAACTATTAGCCTCATATCTCAAGAAAGACTCCAGTCAAGGCCTAGGGACTACTCATGAAAAGAGTTTAATAGCCGACTCTCTCCCAGTGGATCTGGATTCCACCGGACTGTATCTTCACAGTAAGGGTGAAACAGAAGCAAACCCATTCCTATTTCCAAGCTCAAGGAACTTTGGTCAAAGTTCTCTTGGAGCTGAGCAGAACAAGGAGGCAAACAGAAAAGATTTGTGTCCCTGAGAAGTCATGGCCACAGGCTGGCTATCACACAGATTGTCAAGCCAGTTCCATATTGCATGGGTATTACAGAAAATCTCAAAACATAAATTTGTGTGTGGGTTGTCCCAGAGTAGCAGGATCTGGCAGAAGGAAATTTCCTTCTAACCCTCAAAGAATCCACATAAATCTTGTTACATTTGGGATTTTACGATTTGCTTCAGGAATGAGAATGGCCTTAATTTTCATATCTTTTTCTACACTCAGTTTATGGCTTGTTGGCGTCAAAGTTCTGCTTGCTTCACACAATGAGTTTAGGATTTTCCCTTTTTTATTCTATAGAATTCTTCATATATATTGAAATGCTCTGCCTGGGGAAAAAAATCTGAGCCTAGCGTTTTATCTCTAGGAAGAATCCTTTATTTCCTTGAACATTTATGAGACTATACAGATTATATATGTCTTCTTGTATCAATTTTACTAAGCTATATACATAGCTTATGTTTATATATTATATATATAAATGTAAGATACAAATATAAAAATTATGTATAAATATGAAAATATATATAGAAAGCGATATATATGTCTATATATATAGACAGATTATAAATATCTGTCTATTTGATCTAAGTTTTCAAATTTGTAGGTTAAGGTGTTAATGATATTTCCTTATTAGCTTCTTAATCTATGCTGTATCTATGGTTGTGTACCTTTTAAATTCTTAGTTTTATCTATGTTTTCTCCCTTTTTTTCTAAACTTGACTGACGGTTGCATCATTTATTATATTTCTCCAACAAGCAAAGGTTAGCTTTGTATGTTTTACTAATTTTGTCTACATCATTATTCCCACACTTTAGTTTTTCAGAATTGATTCTGTTGTTTCTTTTCTAATTCTTTATTGAAATATCTAGTACATTAATTTTCAAGTTATTAGAGAAATATTTGTCTGTAAACTCCTATTGTAATATCACTTTTCTTGCTACTCACAGATTTAATCTTTAATATTGGCGGTATCATTGAGTTCTAAGTACATTTCAATTCCTAGTATGATAATCTATGAATTGCTGAGAAATAGTGTTTACAATTTTGTTGTTCTATTTCCACTTAAGTTTATTTTTACTTCTGCTAACTCAATTGAAAATTCTTTACTAATTTTTAAAATCCTTGAACCCAAGAGATGGAGGTTGCAGTGAGCTGAGATCAGGCCACTGCATTCCAGACTGAGTGACAGAGTGGAACGAGATTTCAAAACAAAACAAAACAAAACAAAACAAAACAGTCACTGGAAAGATAATAAAATACATAAATGTGGGATGTAATATGTAATCGTGATAAAATAAACTGGATTTTTTGTATAAGTTATACATATAAATGTAATGCCAAGACACTGATAAGACAACTCATGGTCTTATCTCAATACTTAGTGTCTTCATGTAACATATGTCCTTTAGGATAGTTATAGTCCGTTTTCTTTCCAGGAGAGACAGATGAGAATGCAGAAATGTTAAAGTGCAAGGGACGGAAGCTTCCAGCTGTGCCCACCTGTAACCTGACGTAGACAGTTCCACCGTTTGCTTCATTAATCATGCCAAAGGCTCTAATGCAAATGTGGTACAGAGTCACATGTTTTTGTATCTACATGATAGAAACTATAACTTCATCCCTATATAGAAGGGTATATAGCATATGCCTCAGTGATAAATATAAGTGAATCATTGATCAGTAGGAAACCATTTTAAAAGTCTTTCATAACAGAACAAAATCCCTGAAAACATTTTCTTCTCAATCTCTGAGTTTTCTTACACGGCTTATGAATCTCTAGCCATACTAAAGAGATAGTATGCTGCTCTTCCCACAAATTATTCATTGTATATAATTCCTGTAATCTAATAACAGTACCTTTACACCTCAGGGTTTAAAATGACTCCAACCTTTTTCTGTTTCTCCAATTAAAATAACTTTTTTAAGGTTTAATCTTCAGTAATTTTTTGTAGTAATATTTTTGAAGGTATTTGACCAGGATGATTTGCTTATATACCTACCTGACGTCTCCCTTTCTTCTGAATACATATTTTATTACCCACCTATTAGATCTAAGTTTAAGAAGTTGGAATAGGGATTTAAATCTAAATTCTACATTTGAATTTACAGGAGTCAGCGAGTCCGGGAAGTGCCTTTATGCACAGACCAATATCTGGCAATGGCACTAGGAGACAAATAAGCTTTACCAGTCTCAAAGCCCTGGCTACTACAGTGAATCCACCCTTCTCCTGGATCTTATCTACTTCAGCAAAAGAAGGCCACCCACTAAACCAGGCCCTTGTACTTTGGGTGGAAACTCCTAAGTCCTCTAGTCTCCTCAAACAGACAGCCAGGCTGCCAATTTCCACAATAATAATTTCTATAGCACTGAGTCTTTGGTAGCCTTGTAACTATAGCTACTGATGCTACAGTCTGGTCCCTGTATGATAAAACACCAGAGCAACAGAAACAAAAATATTGACTGAAGCCTTCTAAAATCTCTCTAAATATACCTTCAATAAATATGGTTTTTTTTACAGAACGACTGCTTTCAGCTTCCTGAACTAACGCTTGGCCTTCGCTAGTTGTCACTGTTGAAATTGATTCAAAAGTGTACATTTAACATGAAAGTCAACACAGAATTTCATGTGTCAGCAACTAAAATTTTCAAAATGTTGCAAAATACAAATGTGAAACTGTATTTGTGAAATTTACCATTCATTGAAATTATATTTTCATACCTACCCAGGCACAGAATTTTTTATAACTGTCTGCATGTTCTCCTCATGTGGGGGAAAAGCAGCATCAGCAGGCAGAGGAATCCTTTGAAGCTGGAGGGAGAGGTTGCAGTGATCTGAGAGTTTGCCACTTGACTGCAGCCTGGATGACACAGTGAGACTCCAACTGAAAAGAAACAAACACACACACACACACACACACACACACACACACACCCCCAAAATTGATAAGTAAAAAAAAAATCCATATTCGAAAACATGCTCACAGGCTAACTCCCATATCTAACACACACACACACACACACACACACACACACACACACACACACAATTCCTTGAAAACGAAAGTTCCACAAGGGCAAAAGAAGAAAACAAATTTAACACCCCCCAAAGAAAGTACAAAGAGTAACCTCAAAAGAACTGCAGGGGAAAACAATTCAAAATTTACAAGTATCTACCCTAAAAGAAGCTGAAAGTCCCTCAAAAACTTTCCAGAGGCCATGTCCTTGTATTACAAAAATGATCATAAAAACTGGCAGGAGTAGACGAATAGAAATGCATCTTAAAACTTGCTAAACCCTTCAAGTCTCCCATAAGAATTGTAATGGAAAATGGATCGGTCGGCAGCTTTTTCCATACAATTATGAACAAATTATATTTCTTCATACATAGATTTGTTTTTTCAATATTCTAAGGAATTAACTTTTATATTAATAGTAGGTGATGTAAGAAAGCAGGCCTTTATCAAGATAACTGACACTGGATGTCCATACCATTACTCAGGTGGGCCTTAATTCCCAGCCGGGTTCCCTCCCTGGACACACACTGAAGGTCCCCAGCCATTTGGCAATCTCTTCACATTCCCAGCCCTGGAGGTAGCCCTAAAATACATGTACCTGAAGAAAATAAAACATTGCCTCACACTGGAGCCCAGTGTGGTCCTCCAGATTCCGTGTGAGGTGGACTAACTTATATGGGAAGGCAGGGCAGCGGGAGTGAGGATGGCAGAGAGGATTACACATGTCAAGGCAGCCGGGGTCATGGAAACAAAACATGACTGGCCTGGGAGAAACACTGTGAAAGGACACAGACCTAGGTGGGCCTCAGGTGGACATCCTCGTGGAGAAAAAGGGGGCCCTGGTTGATCTCAAAATGAGCCCCAGGTGGTAGCAGGTCTTACCGCAGGGCAGGGAGCTGGCGAGTAATGATGAGACAGCTATCCCTTAAGCCCTGCTTGTCACCCACTGACTTTAGCCACATATGCATCATAGTGGCTTAAGGTGCCCCGATCCTGAAATGTGGGTGTTACATGTCCCTGATGGGCCTCTCTCCCCCAACCCACGGATTGCCTGGGATTGCTCACTGCAGTCTCCTCCCGGATCCTTGGGTTCTCCATGTGGGGCCCAGATCCAGGTCAAAAGGCCTCTCAGTTCCCAGCCCTTCCCAGCCCTAGGCTGCTCGCCTGGCCTCCTCTCTGTTCCGCCTCTAGGGCTGACCCTCTCTCCATGGGATAGAACTGCAATGGATTGAGCCATAGGCCCTGGCTGATGATCTAGGGGACTGCAGAAGTGGGTCCAGGACAGTTCAGGTGACAGTTCAAAGCCAATTCCCCAGAGACCAAGGAATGACCAGCTAGGTCCTTTCCCATGATGCCCCACGGCGAACCCCACCTCAGCAATCCTGCCAAAACCCGGGCAGTCATGTTCAGCCAAACAGCTGAATGAGCTCAGGTAGGAGGTGTACTGCCTGCAGCTGGAGGCTTGACCTTCGTGATCCCAGAACCGCTGGACTGCAGTGGAATGAGACACCCTGTAGCCTGCAGGGAGAGGAGTCAGGAAGGTTCATGCCAGTCCCACCCTCCCACACACCAGCTCCCCTACCATGCTGGGAGGCATTCCTTACCGAGGATGCCAACACAGTGCTCCTTCATGATGATTTCACTGTGGAAATAAAGGTTGGGATGAAAGGAAATCATCCTGCCACCGGTAACCGGGATGGCTGAGTTCCTCCACCTGCCGGATCAAGGAGAAAGAGGATGGATTCAATGGGACCATCTCAACTAGCCGGGCTGAGGTGGCCTACTAGCTGTAGTGAACCATGAGTTTCCCCTTCCCAGCTCTCCCACTGAGACAACCCTGGTCCCCAGGGGGACCTCAAACTGACTCAGACACTGGACTCCTCCCACAGACCCAGGCTCCCCAGCCTGACCTGCAAATCCATCACGTAGCAAAGCAGGACTTCCGCATGCTTTCCGACCCACGCCGACATCTCGTGTGCCAAACAATCTACCTCTGCGCAAGAACTCTCCAGAGGATTGGGTGGGCAAGCCTCGTGACGCCTTGCAATTTCGCAAGAACACAGACAATGTGGAACAGGGCCATCTCCCAGACATTTGGCCAGTCACCCTTCATTGTTGGCCCTCTATCTCTGTCTGGCGAGGAGGCAACGCCACAACTGTGGTGGTTTTTGGAGTGGGTGGACCCCGGCCAAGACGGCCTGGGCTGACCAGAGACGGGAGGCAGAAAAAGTGGGCAGGTGGTTGCAGCTGAGGGACGGGAGGGACCGGGGGTGGTGTGAGGCGGCTGCTTCTCTGAGTTTCTGAGATGCAGGAGGCCTTTGTGTGCTGGGTGCTGGACATGCTCCGCTGATGTCCGGGTGTGTGGTGTCCTCTTATCCTAGTCTCCCTGAGGGGTGGGCCTGTCCACCTGAGGGAAGCCTTGTAGTTAGAAGCCACAGCAGGGTCGTGCCTGGCGCTCTCCAAGGGAATTGCGTGGGTCCAGAGGAAGTTATACAGGCTCAGGGCCTACACGCCTTTGAGTGCAGCGCCTGCAGTTGGATGAATGCGCATCTGCGGAGCTGGTGCCCGCCGTCAGGTGGTCGGCAGCCCCATGCGCCGCGAACCCGTCTTAAGCACCTTGTGTTTCTGGGGTGAGCCTGCTGGAAACAGGCACCGAGAGCAGGGGTGGTTCAATGGCTGGTAATGGCATACAGATTCCCCGTCCTCCAGGGACGTTCCCAGGGAAACGCGTCCTTCGAATTTGGGCTGTGCGCAAAGGGACCTTGGCGCCGCGATTCTCCCTTGTCAGTGCTGGCCCTGGCTCCCCTTCCCTACCACGTGCTCCCAGGGCTGCTACAAGCGAGCTGCCCTCACAGCTGCGGGAACGTGGCCTCGGCTCCCACGCTGTGCCCCATCCCCTGCCTCCTGGCTGACCCCACGTGCCTCCCACCTGGCTCCTCCCCCCAAACAGCCCCCATACCCCCCGAGGCCCGATGACTATCCCCTGCTGCCCGCCATCCCAAATCGGCAGCCGCAAGGATATGGCTCTGGCTCACAAGGCGGAGATGCTCTGTGGCCTGGGGCATTCACGGAGCCCAGCTCCAAGTGAAGGACCTCCAGTGAGTCCATTGACGGCCCCGGTGTGCTCGGTCCAGGGCCAGGCTGTGCCCGCTGGCCCTCCTTCTGCCACCCCACGTCGGGCTCCACCTCAACCACCACCTCCACCTCAGCCATGATGTCTTCCACCTTCAGCACCGCCTCCTCTTCCAAGGCCGCCTCCTTGCTCTGTACCCCGGCCGTCCTCTCCAGCATTGCCTCCAGCCTGAACACGGTTTTCTCCTGGGTGCTCCCACAGACCCTGGGCCTGCGCAGCCCAGCCCAGCCCAGCCCATGCCCCGCACCCGTAGGCTCTGGGGGCCCGCTCCCCAGCAGACCCGCTCCCTGCAAGACCCACGGGCGTCGCCCTGCTGTGAACCTGGTCCCACACCTACGTGGACCCAGGTTTCCTGAGGAGCTCCGCTGGACCCGCAGATCCCGCACTGGCCAAAGGGCTCCGGTCCCCAGCAGGCTCAACTGCGCACAGGAGCTCGGGAGCCAGAGGCCCCGGCCCTGGGCTTGCAGAGCCCCACCAACAGGCACCGCAACCGCTGCTGCGGGTGCGGGAGCCTCTGGGTCGTCAAGGCAGCGCACAACAGCGTGTGTGCAGGCCGACAATGGCCAACCCTGGCGGCTGGCCTCTGGTGTGCCCAGGGCATAGGACAAGAGGCCCTTTGGAATGCTCCTTGGAGTACAGCATCCTCAGGGAGGAAGCATGGTACTCGGAGCCTCTATTTGCCTCGACCTGTGAGAGTGTGTGCCGGGGCTCTGGCCTCTACAGCAGATCAATTCCACCTCAGCACCGGCAGGCGACTTTCCTCCCACGTGCCCGCCCCGATCACTTCCCCCAGGACACCCCTGCCGCCCTAGCCCCAGCAACCAGAGAGAGTTCTCTGCATCTTCTGTATTACCTCCGTACCATCTACCTGGCCTGCCTAACGAAGAGAGATGTTTCCTGTGTTCATGACACATAGAGATGTTCATGGCTTGCCACACTGAGGATGTCAGGGCACAGGGCTGCCATGCCCACAATTCCAAAGGCCACGCAGCCCGCGTGTGCCCGGATGCCTAGCTACCCGGCACAAGCTCCAAGGGCTTCTCGGAGGAGGCTTGGGCAGGGAAGGCGGGGGGGTGGGGGGGCTGGAGATGCAGGCCCGCCAGTGGCTGTGCCGCCCAGGGAGACGCCCACCGCCCTCCCATTGACTGGCCACGACGGGAGGAAGTCGGCCTGGGTGCGGCCCCCCGGCCCTTCGCGCGCAGTCCCTTAGGGGGCGCCTGGAAGCCCGGCGCATGCGCCCTGAGGGCTCGCTGACCTACCGGGTGCCAGAGAGGCTGCGGCAGGGTTTCTGTGGCGTGGGTCGGGCAGCACAGGCCTTGGTGTGTGCGAGTGCCAAGGAGGGCACCGCCTTCAGGATGGAGGCTGTGCAGGAGGGGGCGGCCGGGGTGGAGAGTGAGCAGGCGGCTTTGGGGGAGGAGGCGGTGCTGCTGTTGGATGACATAATGGCGGAGGTGGAGGTGGTGGCGGAGGAGGAGGGCCTCGTGGAGCGGCGGGAGGAGGCCCAGCGGGCACAGCAGGCTGTGCCTGGCCCTGGGCCCATGACCCCAGAGTCTGCACTGGAGGAGCTGCTGGCCGTTCAGGTGGAGCTGGAGCCGGTTAATGCCCAAGCCAGGAAGGCCTTTTCTCGGCAGCGGGAAAAGATGGAGCGGAGCGCAAGCCCCACCTAGACCGCAGAGGCGCCGTCATCCAGAGCGTCCCTGGCTTCTGGGCCAATGTTGTATCCTTCTCAGTGTTTCTTCGGCCTTTCTAGTGGAGAGGTGCTCTCGGGGAAGTGTAAGTGACCGATGGGCAGCTCGGCGTCGATGTGACTCTTTGGGGAACAAAGGGGAGTTGCCACGGACCAGTGTGGCTGTGGAAAGCCGGAGCAGGCGTGGGTACTATTGTCCTGCATGCGGCAGAGAAACCCTTGGTGATGCCGAGCAGCAGACGTTTGGGGCATCTTTTTGAAGAGCAGAAGCGAGTTCAGAGCGGAAGAGGTTTTTCAGTGAATAAAGCTATTTTTAAGGGAGTGTGATTGCTGCCCCTTGCTAGTCCGATCTGGGACTGGGCGTCTTCGGCTATAAGCAGATTCTGCCACTCCTCAGACACCAGCAAGTCTCTGCAAATCGCGCCTCCCCATGTCAGTGCAGTCAGCCTCAGAATCATACACCCTCTGTGAACACAGGAGGCCTTAGTTTACGGGGAGGGGGAGGCGAAAGGAGATCATACATGGAAGCAGATCTGAGAAATCCCCTACCCCAGCCTCTGGGTGCTCTTAGGCCTTCTTCCCTGTTGCTCCTCGCTTTCCCTTCCATCGTGTGTAAAGTCTCTTTGACCTAAATCAGATTGCAAACCACCCCCAGATGTCAGCCCTGATCACTGACGAAGATGAAGACATGCTGAGCTACATGGTCAGCCTGGAGGTGAGGCCAGGAAGACTGGGGCTAGAGGGTTTAGCGGGGGAGGGTAAGGGAAATAATTCATTCCTGTAAGCAAGAGTGAGCACCTCACCCGAAAACCTATCTAAGCTTTCTCCACCTTGTCCTGACAGGTGGAAGAAGAGAAGCATCCTGTTCATCTCTGCAAGATCATGTTGTTCTTTCGGAGTAACCCCTACTTCCAGAATAAAGTGATTACCAAGGAATATCTGGTGAACATCACAGGTGACAGGTGGCTCCCAGGATGGGTAGTGGAAGGAAGATGGTGGGTGGATCATTGCCAACGGGATCCAGCCCCCTTCCCACAAAAACTCCTGTCTCTGTAGAATACAGGGCTTCTCATTCCACTCCAATTGAGTGGTATCCGGATTATGAAGTGGAGGCCTATCGCCGCAGACACCACAACAGCAGCCTTAACTTCTTCAACTGGTTCTCTGACCACAACTTCGCAGGATCTAACAAGATTGCTGAGGTGAGTCCTCACTGGGAAACATGAGGAATGACCCCGTGTGTTCCCAGCTGCTTGGGTCACCTTTCTGAGCCCTGATGAGGCCTTTCCCGATTGAGTCCCCTGACAGATCCTATGTAAGGACCTGTGGCGCAATCCCCTGCAATACTACAAGAGGATGAAGCCACCTGAAGAGGGAACAGAGACGTCAGGTGAGCCGTTAGTTGGCACTGGAGCTGTTTGATGCCCAGTATAAGGGGGTTGACACACCTGCCTATTCAGGGAGCCTGGGTGCTCATTTCAGAAATGTAGAAATTGAGGCTCCTTTCGTACATGTAGAAATTCCTTGAGAGGAAGACAGAGAGTGACAGAATCCAGGACGTTCATGGCATTGGGCT
Organism: Homo sapiens; assembly: GCF_000001405.40. Lineage (NCBI taxonomy): Eukaryota > Metazoa > Chordata > Mammalia > Primates > Hominidae > Homo > Homo sapiens. Next base: position 9,380,153 of record NC_000024.10, read on the forward strand.
GAAAAGGCACGTTAGAGACTGCACTGCAAAGCGGGTGATAGCTGTGGAGTCTTAAGCCCAGTGAAGAATCGTCCATTTCCAGAATCAATGAGAAGTAAAGCTGAAAATCATTCAGTTCAGTCTGTGGCACTTGATTCCACGGCTGTCAACCCCACCGGCAGTCATCCCGCCAACCCCATGAGATTGGGCTCCCTGAATGTGCGTCCTGGTCATCCTTGCCCCAAACCACAAAGGACTGTTTAGATTGATGGATTTCCTTAAGCTGTTGCCCCATCAGACTTGTGTGTGCTTTTAGGGCCCAGTGCATCTTGTTAGCTGACTCCCCTCACAGACAATACTGGGAATGGGGCAGGGATTGCGCAGAACAGTTTGTAACACGTGGTAGGAGGAAGTTTAAGGGATCACAAATGGGGAAGGGATATCCTTTTCTCAGCGGGCCCCACAATTGAAACATTTCAAAGTATGGCTCAGAGAAAATGCGTTTTAACATGAGTTTGTGTTTCTCTAGGGGACTCCCAGTTGTTGAGTTGAATATGATGGAGCATCAGATTTTACCTAATACAGCAGAACTCCTAAAAAGTTACAGCCATATGCAGGACGGCAGTACTCAGCATGGTCTTATGCACAGGAACTAAAGGAAAAAGAGATCGAGTCACAAAAATTCAGGAAGAGGGGGTAAATGTGGATTGTATGGAATGAAAAATAAACATTCTCAAGGATGTGTGACTCTGTGTCTGTGTGTGTGTGTGTGTCTTTGTGTTTGTGTGTGTGTGTGTGTGTGTGTGTATGTTTATCCACTTTATTCGGGTGTCATAATGAATTGATCAATCCACGTGCTTTATTCTCTTCATGGAAATAACCAGTCTGCGTTGGAGCTGGGCCTCTAAAGTTGTAGAGTGAATGGGTGTGGGATGTGTTGGGATTCTTCCTACAGGACAGAGTGGGAGAGGTAAAAGCAAAAGACAGCTTAGTTGGAGGCTGACTTCGTCCTGTGGAAGCAGAGATAGTTCAAGGAAAGGGGTTACTGGGTTTCCAGGGCCCAGTTTGCTGGGACCTCCAAAATCCTTCATTTTGGGTATCATCATACACAGTAGCTAAGCACAGGATGATGGAAATCTTAAAGTTCGCTTTCGTGTTGAATCCACATGTTCTTTTAAAGGTGAATGCATGATCCTTTTCTGGGACAATCAGCCTCTCAGGACTTCTGAAACATCAACGTGAGAAGAAATGGGCATGTAAGGTGTATGGAGGGACTGTGGGAAAGGTGACAGAGGCATGTGGGAAGGCATTCAGGATACGCTTTTGGCATAGATGACTAAGGGAAAACAGAAACTTACAGAAGTGAGGGGAAAGGGGGTGGATTAGTGGAATATAAGATTGTTGGAGAATCCATCCATGGACTCTCTTGTCACTTGATGACCCAGGATATGGACACTCTTGTTGATGTTTACATCTTTAGTTGTTTTAAGCTTTTCTCCAAGATTCTGTGTTAGGTGAGGAGCCAATAACGTATGTAGCTAACAACAGTACGAGTGCATTTTGTGCTCTTGCAAAGTCTAGTGAGGCTCTATTCTCCCTCGTGATTGGCACTGCAGATTGTATCTGGAGCCCAGGGCCCCTAAATTTTCTGTGGCCTCTTCAGCATAGTTTGCCTAAGGTTTAGAACGTAAAGCGAATATAGTTGCGGAATATGTTTTGCAAGCCTCACACAGGAGGACAAAACATACAGCTTTCATTCGCGAGTGGGAGGCTGCTTCCCAGGAACACGTGTGTCTGCACAAGACAAGGGGTTGCCTCTGTCAAGGATGGGGCAGGAGGATTTCAGTGTCGGAGGCAGAACTTTCTTTCCTGTTCCCAGATGAAACAGTTCCAACACGAGCATCCATGTTGACCACACGCTACTAGAGTGCTAACATTGCTGTCCCGTATAGACTCTGGTCAGCACAGCTTCTGTGAGAAGAGCTATGTTGTTTCAGGGAAGAGGGTTTGACAGTCAAAGTTCCTGAATCTGTTGTGGTGCCTGCAATATGCATTCTACCCCTCCTGCTCGGTGTCAAAGCAGTTGAGCTTTGAAAATCTATCGCCCGGTTTTGTCCCTGCTCCTATGCAGACCTCTGAAGCTCTGGAGCGGGAGTCTTGTCCTCCTCTGACTACCGTCCCCCTGACCCACAAACACAGGAGAAACAGGTGTTCTAAGCAAATTATTCTGAAAACAGTCGGAACCCTTTGGCCCCCTCAAGCTGCCCTCTATCCTACTGTGTGCATGTCAAAGACACTGTGGTCCAGTACGGTATCCCTATAGCGGCAATGGGGCAACAGATTGGTGTGTGCACTCTGGGCAACTCAGATTAGGAAACGTCTGGGGACTTGCCTATAACGAGGTCGTCTTAAAACGTGTTGCCCCAAATTTAAGGCATAGGAAAATGTTGAGGAAAGGGTCTTGCAATGATTTTTCTAGGAGGTAAATAGATAAGAAAATGACCGTAAATAGATGCCAGGGCTAGTTTTGGAGCTAGCCTGTTTTAAAGTGGTGGTAGGGGAGGAGGTTTTTCCAAGGCAGGTAGCAAACCAGGAACTGTCTACGATGGATGGGCGTGCCATGGGTTGGTGGCTCAGCCATATTGCCACCCCACGGAGTGGATGCAGCAGACTGGGCTTCTTCCTTGAATCCTACGTGCAATTCAGTCTAGTGATTTCACATGAGATCCCTTCTTCTGGTATTATCACAGATCGTGCTGAATTATACAGGCTGTGTAATGCTTCTTCCACTGAATATCCGTACACGTGGGCCACAGATGCTAAGGGCACTGACAAATTTGCACCGTGCCTCAGTAACTCGGAAGCACATCTGTGATTTGTACCGACAGGGACTTGGTGTCTTTTCGTGTTTAAAGTAGCACGTGTGTGTTTGTGGTTGCGTATGTTTATTTCTCTGTGCGGGTTTGTATATTTTCTCTGACTCCACCTATGTCTCCGTGGTTCCGATATTTTTCCACACTCCCTGCGGCAATTTGCACATGCCTATCTCTACAACCATTGTAGACTTTGTATCTGTGTCTTTGAACATCTGTCACTCTCTCTCCCTTCCTTTTTTCTTTTCCTTCCTTTACACCCCTCCTTTCATCCTTCCCTTGCTTCCCCACCACACTCTCTCCATCTGTATCGTCTATGTTTCTATTCTCTATCTGGGTTTACTTTCTAATTCTGAATTCAAGGGCATTGAATTGAAAAGAAGCACTCTTCGTACTTTTATGTGTTTTAACTCATTTGGGGAATTTGGCGTGGTATTATTTACAGGGTTCTCTCTGCCCTTTCTCATTGTTCTCCCCAGCCGGGGCTGTTATTATGTGAAAGCTGGTTTCCTTCATCACATCGCGTAGGCTCTAATGATGTTTCGTTTATTTTGATTCTCCTCACACTACATAGTTTTAATTTACCTAATGTGACTGTTTTTTTGTTTGTTTTCCGAGAATGGGTCTTACTCTGTCTTCTAGGTTGGACAGCAGCCCCACGATCTCAGCCCACTGCAGCCCAGGCACCACACACCCATGTGATCCTGTCAACTCAGACTCTCACACACCTGGCAGTACAGGTGCATGCCACCCCTCCAAGCTATGTATTAATTAACTAAATACTTACTTTTTGAATGTGGGTCCATGTTGCCCCAGGCTCATCTGGAACTCCTGAGTGCAGGCAATCCTCCCACCTCAGCTTATCAAAGTGCTGGGATGACAGGTGTGACCCATGGCCCTGCCATGGCTTTGTGTTTTTTGCTTTTTTCTTCCTCCTCCTCACGTCTTGTTTTGAAACATGCACTGAAGGTTTCAATTCATGGACTATAGCCTCTGTGCCTGGAATTTCTATCTTTCAACTCATCATCAGCATTCATTGGGATTTTCATATATATATATATATATATATATATATATATATATATATATATATATATATATACCTATATAAGAATACCTATGTACACACATATATACGTATATACATGTATATACGTATATATGCACATTTATATACGTATATACATGTATATACGTATATATATACATGTACACATATGTATTTATTTCTCAAGTTACGAAACGGCTTGCATTCTTTCCTGTGTCATGAAAAAGACTTTGCTAGAAAAGAAAAGCACTGCTTTATAATAAAATATTTTATTTGCATTTATTTTGTTAAGGCATTTTAAAAATTGTATGTTTGTTTAAAAAATGTCATATGAAATGATACATATTTACAACTTAAGGCGTGATGTTCAACAGGTCATATACATTATGCATTGGATACATCCAGCCAATCAACATATGTGTGACCTCACATAGTTGTCATTTTTGTTGTGAAAAAACTTGACCTGCACTGTATTCGAATATTTTTAGAGAAAGAATATGTTACCACTAGTTATAGTGAGCATGCTGAAGAAAATATTTTTAACCTATTCCTCCTTTATAACTAGAAGTATGAGTTCTTCATCCAGCATCTCGTCAGTGCACCCTCTTCACCGCAGTCATTGGAGTCACTACTTCTGTGAAGTCCGCTTTTTTGATTTCATATAAGAATGAGATCATGTGCTACTTTCCTTTCTGATACCTGGCTTATGTCACTTAACAGAATGGCATGCACACATTCAGCAGATTCCCACACATTCTCACAACTGGCAGGATTTCCTGATTTCTTATTGCAGCGCATATTTCCGTTGCGCATATGCGTTTTTGCCCCATTTTTTAATCCACTTATCAATGGAGGGACTCTCAGGTTGCTTCCGCATTTTGGCTACAGCAAAAATGTAATGAGTGCAGCAATAATTGCATGGGTGCGCGCACCGCTTCAACATACTGATCTGTGTACTGGCGGGCGTGCCCGGGTATTCTGATTTGCTGGATCATATAGTGGGTGGTTCTACTTGTAGATTTCTGAAGGCTGTTTATACTTAAATAAGAGCCATAAAGCTTCTTTAATGCCAGCACTAATTTACATTCTCCCCAAAAGTGAGCAGGGAATTCGTTTTCTCTGCCTCCTCACCAGAGATTAGGGTTTTCTTTTCTTTCTTTTTTTTTTTTTGTTTGTTTGTCTTTCGGATAATATGCATTCTGACTGAAGTGAGAAGAAATCTCATTGTGTTTTTGATTTGCATTTTCGTGATGGATTGGGGATAATGAGGAATTTTTAGTGTGTCTTCTGGGCAACTGTATGTCTCAGTTTCACAAATGAGTCTTCGCAGCCTTCGCCCATTTGTTTTCATGCTATTGAGTTGTTGGGAGTTCCTTATGTACTGTGACTATTCCCCCATGAACAGATGTATGGTGATCCAATCATTGCTCCCATCCTGTAGGATGCCCCTTCTGTATGTTGAGTTTTCTATGGTGTGGTGAAGCACTTTAGTTTGATATGATTCCATTCTCTATTTTTGATAGTGTTTACTGTGTTCTTGCAGTCACTTTGAGACCATCATTGCACACATGGACGCCATGGAGCTTCTTCCTTGTGATCTCTTCTGCTATTTTTATCGTTTCACATCTGACACTGGAGTTTGGTGATAAATAATCCACTTGTAAAATCCTTTGTGTGGCTATTCAGATTTCCCCAACCTAGTTTATAGAAGATACTTGATTTTGCATTGGGCGTTCTTGCTTCTTTGGGAAAAGGCTGTGAGCTGCAAATGCAGTGACTTAGTTCTGGGCTCCTGTTGTTTTTCCTAAGCTCTAGTCTCTGCTTTTCTGCCAGTGCTATTGTATTTTGGTACAAAAAGTTTTGTAGTAGTATATCATGAAGTTAGGTAGTGTGGTGGCTCCAGCTTTGTGCTTTTTACTGGATTGCTCTGGGTTTTCAGGATCTTCTGCCATTTCATAGCAAATTTGGGATTCCCAGATTGTTTTTCTAAGAAGAATGTGTCATTGATATTTTTACAGGGGTTGTATAGAATCTGAGGATGACTCAGGTAGTAGTGATGTCAATGCCGTTTAGACAATGTGCGTGTTTGTGTGCACAAGCTCAGGGCCAAGAGACACTGGGTGTCCTCACCAATACTGAGGTGGGCCTTAATATCCAGCCAGATTGCCTTCTGGAAACACACGGAATGTCCTGTTCTGTTTTGCCATCTCTTCACATTTCCTCCCCTGTGAGCCCTGTGTGGTCCTCCAGATTCCCTGTGCGGTGGCCTGCCTTTTTTGGGGTGGGGAGTTGCTGGGTGAATGAGGATGGCGGAGGGAACCAAGTATGTCAGTGGAGCGTGGTGTCATCCAAACGGTACTTAGCAGGCCTGGGAGAGTCATTCTGGGAGGACGCAGACCTAGAGAGGCCTCAGGTGGGCATCTGTGTGGAGGGTGAGAGATCCCTGGTTGAGCCCAAACTGAACCCCAGGTAGAAGCAAGCCTCAGGACAGGGAAGTAGCTAGCAAGGGATGATGAGGGAGCTATCTCTTGACCCTGGCTTCCCACCCATTGACCTTAGCTACTTATGCCTATTAAGCAGATTACGGTTCCCCCATCGTGAAATGTGGGTACCACAGTTCCCTGATGGGCATTTCTCCACCAGCCCATGATGGCCTGAGTTTCCTTACTGCAGTCTCCTCCCTGAGCCTTGGCTTCTCTATGTGTGTCCTAACTCCAGGACCCACAGGCCTGTCAACCCCCAGCCCTGGGCTGCTTCCCTGGCCTCTTCTCTGTTCCCTCTCTGAGGGCCTAACTCCCTTGGGTAGTGCTGCAGAATATAGAGCCACAGGCCCTGGCTGATGATCTGGTGGACTGGGCAAATTGGTCGTGACAGGTCAGGTTCTGGTTCAAAGCCAATTCCTCCGATGCCAAGGAATGTCGAAGAAGGTCCTTTGCCATGATGCCCCATAGCTGCCCCACCTCAGCAATCGTGCCGTAACCTGGGCCCTCACAGTCAGACAACCAGCTGAAGAAGCTCAGGCAGTGACCTGCGGGAAACTCGGGCTTTCACCTGCATGACCCTAGAACCACTGGACTGCAGTGGAGCCAGTCGCCCTGTATCCTGGAGGGAGACGAGTCAGGAAGGCGCACGCCAGGCCCAGCTCCCGAGGTACTACCCCCTCTACTCCTCAGGGAGGATGCCAACGCAATACTCCTTAGTCATCACTTTGTTTCCGAAGTAAATGTTGTGATGAAAGGCAAACTTCTTCCTACCCCTTGTATTCAGGGTGGCCGAGTTCCTCCACCTGCCTGTCCAAGAAGGAGAAACAGGGCTGTGAAGGGGCAATTTCATCTAGGTGGGCTGAGGTGGCATTCTAGCCGGGGTGAAGCATGCGTTTCCCCTTCCCAGCTTTCCCGCTGAGACACACCTGAGCCCCAGAAGGACCTCAACCTGACCAGGACCTTAGCACCCTCCCCCAGACCCAGGCTTTCCATCCTGACCTGCAAATCCAACATGCAGCTTTGAAGGACTTTCTCATGGTTTCTGAGCTCCTTGCTCTCACCAGAAAGAATCAGAACTTTTAAAGTGTTCTTTATGCCAACTTAAATTTTTTCATTTTTACTACCTCATGTTTTGGATGAGGCATGTATTTTTAAATTTATTTTCACCCTTATTGTACCTCTATGATAAACTGCTTGCTTACATTCATACCGTAATTATCTCTCAGGTTACTTGTCTGTTCCTAAAGATTCACTGAAACGAAGAATTCTATATATGCTTGTATCTTTCAGCAACCGTATGTCAGATAGCACTGCACATTACTGCAGACATCGCATATACAGGTCCAAAGGTAGAGGAAGAAGAAGAAAGCAAGCGTTAAACTCTATTCATTCCTAAAAGCATATCAGAAACTCACAAATAACAGTGAAATCAAAGAATGATCACAGCCAATTCCATTACATACCTAGACTGAAATACGAAACTTCAAAGAAAAGAAACATTAGAACTTTGGGTTTGTAAAAATTTTCCTATATAGATAAAATTATTGGTAACTGTGTCTCACTAGAAAACGTAAACAAAAATCCATGTTTTTCATATTTGTAAATATACATAGTTTTATTTCCATCAGTTATGACATGCAAGCAAGTAATAAAGTGAAAGTACAATCAAATGATATATGGAACTTCCTCAGTCTTAAAATATTCCATGGAGACTATCAATTTTATGAAAACTATAAAGAATGCTTCATGAAACTACATTGTACAGTGCCATTTACTATTTTACTGACATTTTAAATAATCAACAATTAAAGGGAATACATCAACATTATTTAATACCAATAACGTTATTTTTCTTGAGTAATCCTGTTGAAATTAAGGATTTTAAATAAAACATTAAAAACAAATTATATTGACTGATTTCAGCTTTGGATGAAATCATACTTGTGTATTTGTAGTAATGCGAAGCATAACTTTCTCCTCACAATTAATCTTTTATAACATCGGTGTTATAGTTTTCTCTGACACCAACATTGTGATATCGCACAGGTTTACTGCATGCATGCATTACATGCCTCCAGAGAGTAGGCTTCAAATATATGGAAAAATTATATTTATGAAAAAATTCTAGGAAAGGGAATGGTGAAATGGAAGAGAATTTCTCACTTGCTAACTGTTGGACATGGATTTGTATATATTTGGATATAGACACATACTGGCACACTGTGAGTTTGCCCATGTATATATACACTTATATGAGAAACCCATAATATATGGGTTGTGTAATCTTTTAATTAATCCATAATTGTATGTGTGTGAAATTAGATAAGCGGTTACCTTTTCTTTACTCAATTTGATGGAAAGCCAAAAAACTCTGTCCACCTTCATTTCAATTAATCCAATACTGTTAACTGCTGGTAGCTTCATTCTCCTTGTTCTCTTACGGCAACCGGAAAGTTAATTCTCGCTCTAATTTGGCTTTCAAGGTGCGATCAACAAGAGTGTCACCTTGCTGTGGATTGTGACCTCTGACTCCACCTCTGTCTTCCTTTTGCAGTCCTACCTTTGCATAGGTAACAAACTTTGTACATGGTTAAAAGGATAAAAGTTCAGTGAAATGTCAAGCCATGCTGTGAAATGTTCCATAGTTTCTATATCTCTAATTGTCCTTTGATGTTATAGAGGCAAGAAAAATAATTCAATGTTTTTCTTAGTATCTAGTCCAATGCACTCTTTCTTCATAATACTGCAAACAAGGCACTGACATGGAAACGTGGCTGGACGTCTCAAAATCTCTTCTCATTAATTACCATTATGTTAATCACTGTTGCCCACAACTGGAATTGGACTTTGAAATCCCCTGGTGGAAATTGCTATAATGGCTCAAACTACTGGAAAGACTATCTTTTTTTTACCTGAAAATATCTGATGAGCATAGACGTATGCTATATACAGGAACATATTGTACATTAACAACATACCATCACTGCCACTCAATAATAGGTATCCCAAACCTTTGAGCCAAACTGAGCTCGGGTGCTCCCACAAACCAAGCTTTTCCCTCCACAGATTTCTTATGTCAAAAAGCCACAACTCCAGGCCAGGCTTCGTGGCTCTTGTTGTAATTTCTACATTTTGGGAGGCCGAGGTTGGTGGGTCACTTGAGGTCAGGAGTTGGAGACCAGCATGGGCAACATGGCAAAAAGCTGTCTCTACCAAAAATACAAAAATTAGCCAGACCTAGTGGCACTTTCCTGTGGTCCCAGCTACTTGGGAGGCTGAGGCAGGAGAACCACCTGAACATGGGTGGCAGAGATTGTATAGTAAGCCAAGATCAGACTACTGCACTCCAGCCTGGATGACACAGCGAGACCATGACTGAAAAAAGAAAAAAAAAAAAATAAAGGCAACTCCACTCGTCCACTGGCTTAGGTAAAAAGTACTGGAGTTGGCTGGGCTCGGTGGCTCACACCTGTATTCCCAGCACTTTGGATTTTGGGAAGCTGAGTCGGGCGGGTCACCTGAGATCTGTAGTAGGAGAGCAGCCTGGCCAACATGGTGAAGCCTGGCTTCTGCTAAAAATACAAAACATTAGCTGAGCGTGGTGATGCATGCTTGTAATCCCAGCTACTGCAGAGGCTGAACCTGGGAGGCGGAGGATGTGTTGAGCTGAGATCCTGCGACTGCGCTCCAGCCTGGTCTACAGAGCGAGAGTACCCTGTGAGAAACAAAGGTGAAGAGAACAAGAAAAAAAAAATGAGAAAAATAAGACCCACTGCAAAAGGTTGCCACAGAAAAGATTAAACATTTCAGCAACTTCTATCTTCTGTCATGGAAGCCAAGGTTATTTGGACCAAACCTCCTGTCTTAGTTCATTTTCACGCTGCTGAAGAAGACATACCTGAAACTGGGAATAAAAGGAGGTTTAATTGGACTGACAGTTCCACATGGCTGTGGAGGCCTCAGAATCATGGTATACGAATAAAGGCACTTCTTACATGGCAATGCCAAGAGAGAATGAGGAAGAACCTGAGGCAGAAACCCCTGAAAAACCCATCAGATCCCGTGAGACTTCTTCACTGTCACAAGAATAGCATGAGAAAGACCGACCCCCATGATTCAATTACCTCCCCCTGGGTCCCACCCGCAACACGAGGGAATTCTGGGAGATACAATTGAAGCTGAGATTTGAATGGAGACACACCAAACCATGTCACTTCCCAAACAATTAAAAATTCCCAATAGAAGAAGCATTAATTATATCAAAAAGTGGTGGACCAAGAAGGAACTATTAGCCTCATATCTCAAGAAAGACTCCAGTCAAGGCCTAGGGACTACTCATGAAAAGAGTTTAATAGCCGACTCTCTCCCAGTGGATCTGGATTCCACCGGACTGTATCTTCACAGTAAGGGTGAAACAGAAGCAAACCCATTCCTATTTCCAAGCTCAAGGAACTTTGGTCAAAGTTCTCTTGGAGCTGAGCAGAACAAGGAGGCAAACAGAAAAGATTTGTGTCCCTGAGAAGTCATGGCCACAGGCTGGCTATCACACAGATTGTCAAGCCAGTTCCATATTGCATGGGTATTACAGAAAATCTCAAAACATAAATTTGTGTGTGGGTTGTCCCAGAGTAGCAGGATCTGGCAGAAGGAAATTTCCTTCTAACCCTCAAAGAATCCACATAAATCTTGTTACATTTGGGATTTTACGATTTGCTTCAGGAATGAGAATGGCCTTAATTTTCATATCTTTTTCTACACTCAGTTTATGTCTTGTTGGCGTCAAAGTTCTGCTTGCTTCACACAATGAGTTTAGGATTTTCCCTTTTTTATTCTATAGAATTCTTCATATATATTGAAATGCTCTGCCTGGGGAAAAAAATCTGAGCCTAGCGTTTTATCTCTAGGAAGAATCCTTTATTTCCTTGGACATTTATGAGACTATACAGATTATATATGTCTTCTTGTATCAATTTTACTAAGCTATATACATAGCTTATGTTTATATATTATATATATAAATGTAAGATACAAATATAAAAATTATGTATAAATATGAAAATATATATAGAAAGCGATATATATGTCTATATATAGAGACAGATTATAAATATCTGTCTATTTGATCTAAGTTTTCAAATTTGTAGGTTAAGGTGTTAACGATATTTCCTTATTAGCTTCTTAATCTATGCTGTATCTATGGTTGTGTACCTTTTAAATTCTTAGTTTTATCTATGTTTTCTCCCTTTTTTTCTAAACTTGACTGACGGTTGCATCATTTATTATATTTCTCCAACAAGCAAAGGTTAGCTTTGTATGTTTTACTAATTTTGTCTACATCATTATTCCCACACTTTAGTTTTTCAGAATTGATTCTGTTGTTTCTTTTCTAATTCTTTATTGAAATATCTAGTACATTAATTTTCAAGTTATTAGAGAAATATTTGTCTGTAAACTCCTATTGTAATATCACTTTTCTTGCTACTCACAGATTTAATCTTTAATATTGGCGGTATCATTGAGTTCTAAGTACATTTCAATTCCTAGTATGATAATCTATGAATTGCTGAGAAATAGTGTTTACAATTTTGTTGTTCTATTTCCACTTAAGTTTATTTTTACTTCTGCTAACTCAATTGAAAATTCTTTACTAATTTTTAAAATCCTTGAACCCAAGAGATGGAGGTTGCAGTGAGCTGAGATCAGGCCACTGCATTCCAGACTGAGTGACAGAGTGGAACGAGATTTCAAAACAAAACAAAACAAAACAAAACAAAACAAAACAGTCACTGGAAAGATAATAAAATACATAAATGTGGGATGTAATATGTAATCGTGATAAAATAAACTGGATTTTTTGTATAAGTTATACATATAAATGTAATGCCAAGACACTGATAAGACAACTCATGGTCTTATCTCAATACTTAGTGTCTTCATGTAACATATGTCCTTTAGGATAGTTATAGTCCGTTTTCTTTCCAGGAGAGACAGATGAGAATGCAGAAATGTTAAAGTGCAAGGGACGGAAGCTTCCAGCTGTGCCCACCTGTAACCTGACGTAGACAGTTCCACCGTTTGCTTCATTAATCATGCCAAAGGCTCTAATGCAAATGTGGTACAGAGTCACATGTTTTTGTATCTACATGATAGAAACTATAACTTCATCCCTATATAGAAGGGTATATAGCATATGCCTCAGTGATAAATATAAGTGAATCATTGATCAGTAGGAAACCATTTTAAAAGTCTTTCATAACAGAACAAAATCCCTGAGAACATTTTCTTCTCAATCTCTGAGTTTTCTTACACGGCTTATGAATCTCTAGCCATACTAAAGAGATAGTATGCTGCTCTTCCCACAAATTATTCATTGTATATAATTCCTGTAATCTAATAACAGTACCTTTACACCTCAGGGTTTAAAATGACTCCAACCTTTTTCTGTTTCTCCAATTAAAATAACTTTTTTAAGGTTTAATCTTCAGTAATTTTTTGTAGTAATATTTTTGAAGGTATTTGACCAGGATGATTTGCTTATATACCTACCTGACGTCTCCCTTTCTTCTGAATACATATTTTATTACCCACCTATTAGATCTAAGTTTAAGAAGTTGGAATAGGGATTTAAATCTAAATTCTACATTTGAATTTACAGGAGTCAGCGAGTCCGGGAAGTGCCTTTATGCACAGACCAATATCTGGCAATGGCACTAGGAGACAAATAAGCTTTACCAGTCTCAAAGCCCTGGCTACTACAGTGAATCCACCCTTCTCCTGGATCTTATCTACTTCAGCAAAAGAAGGCCACCCACTAAACCAGGCCCTTGTACTTTGGGTGGAAACTCCTAAGTCCTCTAGTCTCCTCAAACAGACAGCCAGGCTGCCAATTTCCACAATAATAATTTCTATAGCACTGAGTCTTTGGTAGCCTTGTAACTATAGCTACTGATGCTACAGTCTGGTCCCTGTATGATAAAACACCAGAGCAACAGAAACAAAAATATTGACTGAAGCCTTCTAAAATCTCTCTAAATATACCTTCAATAAATATGGTTTTTTTTACAGAACGACTGCTTTCAGCTTCCTGAACTAACGCTTGGCCTTCGCTAGTTGTCACTGTTGAAATTGATTCAAAAGTGTACCTTTAACATGAAAGTCAACACAGAATTTCATGTGTCAGCAACTAAAATTTTCAAAATGTTGCAAAATACAAATGTGAAACTGTATTTGTGAAATTTACCATTCATTGAAATTATATTTTCATACCTACCCAGGCACAGAATTTTTTATAACTGTCTGCATGTTCTCCTCATGTGGGGGAAAAGCAGCATCAGCAGGCAGAGGAATCCTTTGAAGCTGGAGGGAGAGGTTGCAGTGATCTGAGAGTTTGCCACTTGACTGCAGCCTGGATGACACAGTGAGACTCCAACTGAAAAGAAACAAACACACACACACACACACACACACACACACACACACATACACCCCCAAAATTGATAAGTAAAAAAAAAATCCGTATTCGAAAACATGCTCACAGGCTAACTCCCATATCTAACACACACACACACACACACACACACACACACACACACACACACAATTCCTTGAAAACGAAAGTTCCACAAGGGCGAAACAAGAAAACAAATTTAACACCCCCCAAAGAAAGTACAAAGAGTAACCTCAAAAGAACCGCAGGGGAAAACAATTCAAAATTTACAAGTATCTACCCTAAAAGAAGCTGAAAGTCCCTCAAAAACTTTCCAGAGGCCATGTCCTTGTATTACAAAAATGATCATAAAAACTGGCAGGAGTAGACGAATAGAAATGCATCTTAAAACTTGCCGAACACTTCAAGTCTCCCATAAGAATTGTAATGGAAAATGGATCAGTCGGCAGTTTTTTCCATACAATTATGAACAAATTATATTTCTTCATACATAGATTTGTTTTTTCAATATTCTAAGGAATTAACTTTTATATTAATAGTAGGTGATGTAAGAAAGCAGGCCTTTATCAAGATAACTGACACTGGATGTCCATACCATTACTCAGGTGGGCCTTAATTCCCAGCCAGGTTCCCTCCCTGGACACACACTGAAGGTCCCCAGCCATTTGGCAATCTCTTCACATTCCCAGCCCTGGAGGTAGCCCTAAAATACATGTACCTGAAGAAAATAAAACATTGCCTCACACTGGAGCCCAGTGTGGTCCTCCAGATTCCGTGTGAGGTGGACTAACTTATATGGGAAGGCAGGGCAGCGGGAGTGAGGATGGCAGAGAGGATTACACATGTCAAGGCAGCCGGGGTCATGGAAACAAAACATGACTGGCCTGGGAGAAACACTGTGAAAGGACATACACCTAGGTGGGCCTCAGGTGGACATCCTCGTGGAGAAAAAGGGGGCCCTGGTTGATCTCAAAATGAGCCCCAGGTGGTAGCAGGTCTTACCGCAGGGCAGGGAGCTGGCGAGTAATGATGAGACAGCTATCCCTTAAGCCCTGCTTGTCACCCACTGACTTTAGCCACATATGCATCATAGTGGCTTAAGGTGCCCCGATCCTGAAATGTGGGTGTTACATGTCCCTGATGGGCCTCTCTCCCCCAACCCACGGATTGCCTGGGATTGCTCACTGCAGTCTCCTCCCGGATCCTTGGGTTCTCCATGTGGGGCCCAGATCCAGGTCAAAAGGCCTCTCAGTTCCCAGCCCTTCCCAGCCCTAGGCTGCTCGCCTGGCCTCCTCTCTGTTCCGCCTCTAGGGCTGACCCTCTCTCCATGGGATAGAACTGCAATGGATTGAGCCATAGGCCCTGGCTGATGATCTAGGGGACTGCAGAAGTGGGTCCAGGACAGTTCAGGTGACAGTTCAAAGCCAATTCCCCAGAGACCAAGGAATGACCAGCTAGGTCCTTTCCCATGATGCCCCACGGCGAACCCCACCTCAGCAATCCTGCCAAAACCCGGGCAGTCATGTTCAGCCAAACAGCTGAATGAGCTCAGGTAGGAGGTGTACTGCCTGCAGCTGGAGGCTTGACCTTCGTGATCCCAGAACCGCTGGACTGCAGTGGAATGAGACACCCTGTAGCCTGCAGGGAGAGGAGTCAGGAAGGTTCATGCCAGTCCCACCCTCCCACACACCAGCTCCCCTACCATGCTGGGAGGCATTCCTTACCGAGGATGCCAACACAGTGCTCCTTCATGATGATTTCACTGTGGAAATAAAGGTTGGGATGAAAGGAAATCATCCTGCCACCGGTAACCGGGATGGCTGAGTTCCTCCACCTGCCGGATCAAGGAGAAAGAGGATGGATTCAATGGGACCATCTCAACTAGCCGGGCTGAGGTGGCCTACTAGCTGTAGTGAACCATGAGTTTCCCCTTCCCAGCTCTCCCACTGAGACAACCCTGGTCCCCAGGGGGACCTCAAACTGACTCAGACACTGGACTCCTCCCACAGACCCAGGCTCCCCAGCCTGACCTGCAAATCCATCACGTAGCAAAGCAGGACTTCCGCATGCTTTCCGACCCACGCCGACATCTCGTGTGCCAAACAATCTACCTCTGCGCAAGAACTCTCCAGAGGATTGGGTGGGCAAGCCTCGTGACGCCTTGCAATTTCGCAAGAACACAGACAATGTGGAACAGGGCCATCTCCCAGACATTTGGCCAGTCACCCTTCATTGTTGGCCCTCTATCTCTGTCTGGCGAGGAGGCAACGCCACAACTGTGGTGGTTTTTGGAGTGGGTGGACCCCGGCCAAGACGGCCTGGGCTGACCAGAGACGGGAGGCAGAAAAAGTGGGCAGGTGGTTGCAGCTGAGGGACGGGAGGGGCCGGGGGTGGTGTGAGGCGGCTGCTTCTCTGAGTTTCTGAGATGCAGGAGGCCTTTGTGTGCTGGGTGCTGGACATGCTCCGCTGATGTCCGGGTGTGTGGTGTCCTCTTATCCTAGTCTCCCTGAGGGGTGGGCCTGTCCACCTGAGGGAAGCCTTGTAGTTAGAAGCCACAGCAGGGTCGTGCCTGGCGCTCTCCAAGGGAATTGCGTGGGTCCAGAGGAAGTTATACAGGCTCAGGGCCTACACGCCTTTGAGTGCAGCGCCTGCAGTTGGATGAATGCGCATCTGCGGAGCTGGTGCCCGCCGTCAGGTGGTCGGCAGCCCCATGCGCCGCGAACCCGTCTTAAGCACCTTGCGTTTCTGGGGTGAGCCTGCTGGAAACAGGCACCGAGAGCAGGGGTGGTTCAATGGCTGGTAATGGCATACAGATTCCCCGTCCTCCAGGGACGTTCCCAGGGAAACGCGTCCTTCGAATTTGGGCTGTGCGCAAAGGGACCTTGGCGCCGCGATTCTCCCTTGTCAGTGCTGGCCCTGGCTCCCCTTCCCTACCACGTGCTCCCAGGGCTGCTACAAGCGAGCTGCCCTCACAGCTGCGGGAACGTGGCCTCGGCTCCCACGCTGTCCCCCATCCCCTGCCTCCTGGCTGACCCCACGTGCCTCCCACCTGGCTCCTCCCCCCAAACAGCCCCCATACCCCCCGAGGCCCGATGACTATCCCCTGCTGCCCGCCGTCCCAAATCGGCAGCCGCAAGGATATGGCTCTGGCTCACAAGGCGGAGATGCTCTGTGGCCTGGGGCATTCACGGAGCCCAGCTCCAAGTGAAGGACCTCCAGCGAGTCCATTGACGGCCCCGGTGTGCTCGGTCCAGGGCCAGGCTGTGCCCGCTGGCCCTCCTTCTGCCACCCCACGTCGGGCTCCACCTCAACCACCACCTCCACCTCAGCCATGATGTCTTCCACCTTCAGCACCGCCTCCTCTTCCAAGGCCGCCTCCTTGCTCTGTACCCCGGCCGTCCTCTCCAGCATTGCCTCCAGCCTGAACACGGTTTTCTCCTGGGTGCTCCCACAGACCCTGGGCCTGCGCAGCCCAGCCCAGCCCAGCCCATGCCCCGCACCCGTAGGCTCTGGGGGCCCGCTCCCCAGCAGACCCGCTCCCTGCAAGACCCACGGGCGTCGCCCTGCTGTGAACCTGGTCCCACACCTACGTGGACCCAGGTTTCCTGAGGAGCTCCGCTGGACCCGCAGATCCCGCACTGGCCAAAGGGCTCCGGTCCCCAGCAGGCTCAACTGCGCACAGGAGCTCGGGAGCCAGAGGCCCCGGCCCTGGGCTTGCAGAGCCCCACCAACAGGCACCGCAACCGCTGCTGCGGGTGCGGGAGCCTCTGGGTCGTCAAGGCAGCGCACAACAGCGTGCGCGCAGGCCGACAATGGCCAACCCTGGCGGCTGGCCTCTGGTGTGCCCAGGGCATAGGACAAGAGGCCCTTTGGAATGCTCCTTGGAGTACAGCATCCTCAGGGAGGAAGCATGGTACTCGGAGCCTCTATTTGCCTCGACCTGTGAGAGTGTGTGCCGGGGCTCTGGCCTCTACAGCAGATCAATTCCACCTCAGCACCGGCAGGCGACTTTCCTCCCACGTGCCCGCCCCGATCACTTCCCCCAGGACACCCCTGCCGCCCTAGCCCCAGCAACCAGAGAGAGTTCTCTGCATCTGCTGTATTACCTCCGTACCATCTACCTGGCCTGCCTAACGAAGAGAGATGTTTCCTGTGTTCATGACACATAGAGATGTTCATGGCTTGCCACACTGAGGATGTCAGGGCACAGGGCTGCCATGCCCACAATTCCAAAGGCCACGCAGCCCGCGTGTGCCCGGATGCCTAGCTACCCGGCACAAGCTCCAAGGGCTTCTCGGAGGAGGCTTGGGCAGGGAAGGCGGGGGGTGGGGGGGCTGGAGATGCAGGCCCGCCAGTGGCTGTGCCGCCCAGGGAGACGCCCACCGCCCTCCCATTGACTGGCCACGACGGGAGGAAGTCGGCCTGGGTGCGGCCCCCCGGCCCTTCGCGCGCAGTCCCTTAGGGGGCGCCTGGAAGCCCGGCGCATGCGCCCTGAGGGCTCGCTGACCTACCGGGTGCCAGAGAGGCTGCGGCAGGGTTTCTGTGGCGTGGGTCGGGCAGCACAGGCCTTGGTGTGTGCGAGTGCCAAGGAGGGCACCGCCTTCAGGATGGAGGCTGTACAGGAGGGGGCGGCCGGGGTGGAGAGTGAGCAGGCGGCTTTGGGGGAGGAGGCGGTGCTGCTGTTGGATGACATAATGGCGGAGGTGGAGGTGGTGGCGGAGGAGGAGGGCCTCGTGGAGCGGCGGGAGGAGGCCCAGCGGGCACAGCAGGCTGTGCCTGGCCCTGGGCCCATGACCCCAGAGTCTGCACTGGAGGAGCTGCTGGCCGTTCAGGTGGAGCTGGAGCCGGTTAATGCCCAAGCCAGGAAGGCCTTTTCTCGGCAGCGGGAAAAGATGGAGCGGAGGCGCAAGCCCCACCTAGACCGCAGAGGCGCCGTCATCCAGAGCGTCCCTGGCTTCTGGGCCAATGTTGTATCCTTCTCAGTGTTTCTTCGGCCTTTCTAGTGGAGAGGTGCTCTCGGGGAAGTGTAAGTGACCGATGGGCAGCTCGGCGTCGATGTGACTCTTTGGGGAACAAAGGGGAGTTGCCACGGACCAATGTGGCTGTGGAAAGCCGGAGCAGGCGTGGGTACTATTGTCCTGCATGCGGCAGAGAAACCCTTGGTGATGCCGAGCAGCAGACGTTTGGGGCATCTTTTTGAAGAGCAGAAGCGAGTTCAGAGCGGAAGAGGTTTTTCAGTGAATGAAGCTATTTTTAAGGGAGTGTGATTGCTGCCCCTTGCTAGTCCGATCTGGGACTGGGCGTCTTCGGCTATAAGCAGATTCTGCCACTCCTCAGACACCAGCAAGTCTCTGCAAATCGCGCCTCCCCATGTCAGTGCAGTCAGCCTCAGAATCATACACCCTCTGTGAACACAGGAGGCCTTAGTTTACGGGGAGGGGGAGGCGAAAGGAGATCATACATGGAAGCAGATCTGAGAAATCCCCTACCCCAGCCTCTGGGTGCTCTTAGGCCTTCTTCCCTGTTGCTCCTCGCTTTCCCTTCCATCGTGTGTAAAGTCTCTTTGACCTAAATCAGATTGCAAACCACCCCCAGATGTCAGCCCTGATCACTGACGAAGATGAAGACATGCTGAGCTACATGGTCAGCCTGGAGGTGAGGCCAGGAAGACTGGGGCTGGAGGGTTTAGCGGGGGAGGGTAAGGGAAATAATTCATTCCTGTAAGCAAGAGTGAGCACCTCACCCGAAAACCTATCTAAGCTTTCTCCACCTTGTCCTGACAGGTGGAAGAAGAGAAGCATCCTGTTCATCTCTGCAAGATCATGTTGTTCTTTCGGAGTAACCCCTACTTCCAGAATAAAGTGATTACCAAGGAATATCTGGTGAACATCACAGGTGACAGGTGGCTCCCAGGATGGGTAGTGGAAGGAAGATGGTGGGTGGATCATTGCCAACGGGATCCAGCCCCCTTCCCACAAAAACTCCTGTCTCTGTAGAATACAGGGCTTCTCATTCCACTCCAATTGAGTGGTATCCGGATTATGAAGTGGAGGCGTATCGCCGCAGACACCACAACAGCAGCCTTAACTTCTTCAACTGGTTCTCTGACCACAACTTCGCAGGATCTAACAAGATTGCTGAGGTGAGTCCTCACTGGGAAACATGAGGAATGACCCCGTGTGTTCCCAGCTGCTTGGGTCACCTTTCTGAGCCCTGATGAGGCCTTTCCCGATTGAGTCCCCTGACAGATCCTATGTAAGGACCTGTGGCGCAATCCCCTGCAATACTACAAGAGGATGAAGCCACCTGAAGAGGGAACAGAGACGTCAGGTGAGCCGTTAGTTGGCACTGGAGCTGTTTGATGCCCAGTATAAGGGGGTTGACACACCTGCCTATTCAGGGAGCCTGGGTGCTCATTTCAGAAATGTAGAAATTGAGGCTCCTTTCGTACATGTAGAAATTCCTTGAGAGGAAGACAGAGAGTGACAGAATCCAGGACGTTCATGGCATTGGGCTGAAAAGGCACGTTAGAGACTGCACTGCAAAGCGGGTGATAGCTGTGGAGTCTTAAGCCCAGTGAAGAATCGTCCATTTCCAGAATCAATGAGAAGTAAAGCTGAAAATCATTCAGTTCAGTCTGTGGCACTTGATTCCACGGCTGTCAACCCCACCGGCAGTCATCCCACCAACCCCATGAGATTGGGCTCCCTGAATGTGCGTCCTGGTCATCCTTGCCCCAAACCACAAAGGACTGTTTAGATTGATGGATTTCCTTAAGCTGTTGCCCCATCAGACTTGTGTGTGCTTTTAGGGCCCAGTGCATCTTGTTAGCTGACTCCCCTCACAGACAATACTGGGAATGGGGCAGGGATTGCGCAGAACAGTTTGTAACACGTGGTAGGAGGAAGTTTAAGGGATCACAAATGGGGAAGGGATATCCTTTTCTCAGCGGGCCCCACAATTGAAACATTTCAAAGTATGGCTCAGAGAAAATGCGTTTTAACATGAGTTTGTGTTTCTCTAGGGGACTCCCAGTTGTTGAGTTGAATATGATGGAGCATCAGATTTTACCTAATACAGCAGAACTCCTAAAAAGTTACAGCCATATGCAGGACGGCAGTACTCAGCATGGTCTTATGCACAGGAACTAAAGGAAAAAGAGATCGAGTCACAAAAATTCAGGAAGAGGGGGTAAATGTGGATTGTATGGAATGAAAAATAAACATTCTCAAGGATGTGTGACTCTGTGTCTGTGTGTGTGTGTGTGTCTTTGTGTTTGTGTGTGTGTGTGTGTGTGTGTGTGTGTGTATGTTTATCCACTTTATTCGGGTGTCATAATGAATTGATCAATCCACGTGCTTTATTCTCTTCATGGAAATAACCAGTCTGCGTTGGAGCTGGGCCTCTAAAGTTGTAGAGTGAATGGGTGTGGGATGTGTTGGGATTCTTCCTACAGGACAGAGTGGGAGAGGTAAAAGCAAAAGACAGCTTAGTTGGAGGCTGACTTCGTCCTGTGGAAGCAGAGATAGTTCAAGGAAAGGGGTTACTGGGTTTCCAGGGCCCAGTTTGCTGGGACCTCCAAAATCCTTCATTTTGGGTATCATCATACACAGTAGCTAAGCACAGGATGATGGAAATCTTAAAGTTCGCTTTCGTGTTGAATCCACATGTTCTTTTAAAGGTGAATGCATGATCCTTTTCTGGGACAATCAGCCTCTCAGGACTTCTGAAACATCAACGTGAGAAGAAATGGGCATGTAAGGTGTATGGAGGGACTGTGGGAAAGGTGACAGAGGCATGTGGGAAGGCATTCAGCATACGCTTTTGGCAGAGATGACTAAGGGAAAACAGAAACTTACAGAAGTGAGGGGAAAGGGGGTGGATTAGTGGAATATAAGATTGTTGGAGAATCCATCCATGGACTCTCTTGTCACTTGATGACCCAGGATATGGACACTCTTGTTGATGTTTACATCTTTAGTTGTTTTAAGCTTTTCTCCAAGATTCTGTGTTAGGTGAGGAGCCAATAACGTATGTAGCTAACAACAGTACGAGTGCATTTTGTGCTCTTGCA
The DNA here is from genome assembly GCF_000001405.40 of Homo sapiens. Lineage (NCBI taxonomy): Eukaryota > Metazoa > Chordata > Mammalia > Primates > Hominidae > Homo > Homo sapiens. Next base: position 9,402,057 of record NC_000024.10, read on the forward strand.
AAGTCTAGTGAGGCTCTATTCTCCCTCGTGATTGGCACTGCAGATTGTATCTGGAGCCCAGGGCCCCTAAATTTTCTGTGGCCTCTTCAGCATAGTTTGCCTAAGGTTTAGAACGTAAAGCGAATATAGTTGCGGAATATGTTTTGCAAGCCTCACACAGGAGGACAAAACATACAGCTTTCATTCGCGAGTGGGAGGCTGCTTCCCAGGAACACGTGTGTCTGCACAAGACAAGGGGTTGCCTCTGTCAAGGATGGGGCAGGAGGATTTCAGTGTCGGAGGCAGAACTTTCTTTCCTGTTCCCAGATGAAACAGTTCCAACACGAGCATCCATGTTGACCACACGCTACTAGAGTGCTAACATTGCTGTCCCGTATAGACTCTGGTCAGCACAGCTTCTGTGAGAAGAGCTATGTTGTTTCAGGGAAGAGGGTTTGACAGTCAAAGTTCCTGAATCTGTTGTGGTGCCTGCAATATGCATTCTACCCCTCCTGCTCGGTGTCAAAGCAGTTGAGCTTTGAAAATCTATCGCCCGGTTTTGTCCCTGCTCCTATGCAGACCTCTGAAGCTCTGGAGCGGGAGTCTTGTCCTCCTCTGACTACCGTCCCCCTGACCCACAAACACAGGAGAAACAGGTGTTCTAAGCAAATTATTCTGAAAACAGTCGGAACCCTTTGGCCCCCTCAAGCTGCCCTGTATCCTACTGTGTGCATGTCAAAGACACTGTGGTCCAGTACGGTATCCCTATAGCGGCAATGGGGCAACAGATTGGTGTGTGCACTCTGGGCAACTCAGATTAGGAAACGTCTGGGGACTTGCCTATAACGAGGTCGTCTTAAAACGTGTTGCCCCAAATTTAAGGCATAGGAAAATGTTGAGGAAAGGGTCTTGCAATGATTTTTCTAGGAGGTAAATAGATAAGAAAATGACCGTAAATAGATGCCAGGGCTAGTTTTGGAGCTAGCCTGTTTTAAAGTGGTGGTAGGGGAGGAGCTTTTTCCAAGGCAGGTAGCAAACCAGGAACTGTCTACGATGGATGGGCGTGCCACGGGTTGGTGGCTCAGCCATATTGCCACCCCACCGACTGAATGCAGCAGACTGGGCTTCTTCCTTGAATCCTACGTGCAATTCAGTCTAGTGATTTCACATGAGATCCCTTCTTCTGGTATTATCACAGATCGTGCTGAATTATACAGGCTGTGTAATGCTTCTTCCACTGAATATCCGTGCACGTGGGCCACAGATGCTAAGGGCACTGACAAATTTGCACCGTGCCTCAGTAACTCGGAAGCACATCTGTGATTTGTACCGACAGGGACTTGGTGTCTTTTCGTGTTTAAAGTAGCACGTGTGTGTTTGTGGTTGCGTATGTTTATTTCTCTGTGCGGGTTTGTATATTTTCTCTGACTCCACCTATGTCTCCGTGGTTCCGATATTTTTCCACACTCCCTGCGACAATTTGCACATGCCTATCTCTACAACCATTGTAGACTTTGTATCTGTGTCTTTGAACATCTGTCACTCTCTCTCCCTTCCTTTTTTCTTTTCCTTCCTTTACACCCCTTTCATCCTTCCCTTGCTTCCCCACCACACTCTCTCCATCTGTATCGTCTATCTTTCTATTCTCTATCTGGGTTTACTTTCTAATTCTGAATTC